>NC_000020.11:29271826-29307456 GCF_000001405.40 Homo sapiens
AGGGAAGTTTCTCAGAAAGCTTCTGTCTAGTTTTTATGTGAAGATATTTCCTTTTTCACCATATGTCTCAAAACGCCTTCAAATATCCCTTTACAGATTCTACAAAAAGACTGTTTCCAAACTGCTCAATCAAAGCAAAGTTTTAACTCTGTGAGATGAATGCACACATCTCAGAGAAGTTTCTCAGAAAGCTTCTGTATAGTTTTTTTGTAAAGATATTTCCTATTTCACCATAGGCCTCAAAGAGCTCAAAAATGTCTCCTTACAGATTCTACAAAAAGACTGTTTTTGAACTGGTGAATCAAAATAAATGTTCAACTCTGTGAGATGAATGTGTACATCCTAAAGAAGTTTCTCAGAAAGCTTCTTTATAGGTTTAGGTGAAGATATTTCCTTTTTCACCATAAGCCTGAAAGCATTCACAGATATCACTTTGCAGATTGTACAAAAAGACGGTTTAAAAACTACTCAATCAAAACAAAAGTTCAACTATGTGAAATGAATGCACACATCACAAAGAGGTTTCTCAGAAAGCTTCTGTTTATATTTTATTTGTGGATAATTCCTTTTTCACCATAGGTTTCAAACCGCTCACAAATATTCCTTGCAGTTTCTAAAAAAGACTGTTTTCACACTACTCAATCAAAAGAGAGGTTCAACTCTGTGACATGAACACACACATCACAAAGAAGTTTCTCAGAAACCTTCTGTCTAGTTTTTATGTGAAGATAATTCCTTTTTCAACATAGGCCTCAATGGGCTCAAAAATATCCCTATGCAGATTCTACAAAAAGACTGTTTCCAAACTTCTCAATCAAAAGGAAGATTCAACTCTGTGAGATGAATGCACACATCACAAAGAAGTTTCTCAGAGATCTTCTGTCTAGATATTATTTGTGGATATTTCCTCTTTCACCATAGGCCTCAAAGGGCTCATAGATATCCCTTTGCAGATTCTACAAAAACACTGTTTCCAAACTGCTCAATCTAAAGAAGGGTTCAACACTGTGAGCTGAATGCACACATCACAAAGAAGTTTCTCAGAATGTTTCTGTCTAGTTTTTATGTGAAGATATTTCCTTTTACACCATAGGCCTCAAATTGCTAAAAAATGTCCCTGTGCAGATTCTACATAAGGACTGTTTCCAAACTGCTCAATGAAAGGAAAGGTTCAACTCTGTGAGATGAAAACACACAACATGACGAAGTTTCTCAGAATGCTTCTGTCTAGTTTTTTTGTGAAGATCTTCCCTTTTTCACCATAAATCTCAAATTGTTCACAAATATCACTTTGCAGATTATACAAAAAGACAGCTCCCAAACTGCTCAATCAAAACAAAGATTCAACTCTGTGAGATGAATGCACACATCACAAAGAAGTTTCTCAGAAAGCTTCTGTCTAGTTTTTATGTGAAGATATTTCCTTTTCCAGTAGAGGCTGCAAAGCGCTCTAAATATCCACTTGCAGATTCTTCAAAAAGAGTGTTTCAAAACTGCTCAATCAAAAGAAAGGTTCAACTCTGTGAGATAAATGCACACATCACAAAGAAGTATCTCAGAATGCTTCTCTCTAGTTTTTATGTGAAGATATTTCCTTTTCCACAATAGGCCTCAAAGCACACCAAATATCCACTTGCAGATTCTACAAAAAGTTGTTTCCAAACTGTTTTATCAAAGGAAGGTTCAACTCGGTGAGATGAATGAACACATCACAAAAATGTTTCTAACAAAGCTTCTGTCTAGGTTTTATGTGAAGATATTTCCTTTTTCACCATAGACCTCAAAACTCTCTCAAATGTCCCTTTGCAGATTCTACAAGAAGATGGTTTCCAAAGTTCTCCATCAAAAGGAAGGTTCATATCTGTGAGGTGAATGCACACATCACAAAGAATTTTGTCAGAAAGCTTCTGTCTAGTTGTTATCAGATGATATTTCCTTTTTCACCATAAGCTTCAAAGCCTTCAGAAATATCAGTTTTCAGATTCTACAGAAAGTGTGTTTCCAAACTGCTCAATGAAAAGAGAAGTTCAACTCTGAGAGATGAATGCACACATCACAAAGAGGTTTCTCAGAAATCTTCTGTCTAGTTTTTATGTGAAGATATTTCCTTTTTCACCATAGGCCTCCTACCGCTCACAAATATCCCTTTGCAGATTCTACAAAAAGACTGTTTCCAAACTGCTCAATCAAGAGAACGGTTCAACTCTGTGACATAAATGCATACGTCACAAAGAAGTTTCTCAGAAATATTCTGTATAGTTTTTATGTGAATATATTTATTTTCTCACAATATGCCTTAAGCCACTCACAAATATCCCTTTGCAGATGCTCCAAAAAGACGGTTTCCAAACTGTTCAATCAAAAGTAAAGTTCAACACTGTGAAATGAATGCACACATGACAAAGAAGTTTCTCAGAAAGCTTCTGTGTAGATTTTATTTGTGGATATTTCGTTTTTCACCATAAGCCTCAAACCACTCACAAATATCCCTTTGCGGAATCTACAAAAAGAATGTTTCCAAACTGGTCAATCAACAGCAATGTTGAAATCTGTGAGACGAATGCACACATCACAAAAAAGCTTCTCAGAAAGTAATATCCCTTTGCAGAATCTACAAAAAGACTGTTTCCAAACTTCTCAATCAACAGCAACGTTGAAATCTGTGAGATGAATGTACACATCACAAAAAAGCTTCTCAGAAAGTTTCTGTCTATTTTTTATGTGAAGATATTTCCTTTTTCAACATAAGCCTCAAATCGTTCACAAATATCATTTTGAAGATTCTACAAAAAGACTGTTTCCAAACTGCTCAATCAAAAGAAAGGTTCAACTCCGTGAGATGAATGCAGACATCATAAAGAAGTTTCTCAGGAATATTCTGTCTAGTATGTATTTGTAGACATTTCCCTTTTCACCATAGGGCTCAAACCACACACAAATATCCATTCACAGATCTACAAAAGACTCTTTCCAAACAGCTCAATTAAAAGAAACGTTCAACTCTGTGAGATGAATGCACACATCAAATAGAAGTTTCTCAGAAAGCTTCTGTCTAGTTTTTATATGAATATATTTCCTTTTTCACCATTAGCCTAAAAGCTTTCAAAAATGTCCCTTTGCAGATTCTACAGAAAGACTGTTTCCTAACTGCTCAATCAAAATATTGGTTCAAAACTGTGAGATACATGCTGACATAACAAAGAAGTTTCTCAGAAAGATTCTGTCTAGTTTTTACCTGAATATATTTACTTTCTCACCTTAGGCCTCAAACCGCTCACAAATATCCCTTTGCGGATGTTCCAAAAAGACAATTTACAAACTGCTCAATCAAAAGAAAGTTTCAACACTGTGATATGAATGCTCACATCACAAAAAAGTGTCTCAGAAATCTTCTGTCTAGATTTTATTTGTGGATATTTCCTTTTTCACCATAAGCCATAAACCACTTAAAAATATCCCTTTGCAGATTCTACAAAAAGACAATTTACAAACTGTTCAATCAAAAGAAAGTTTCAACTCTGTGAGATGAATCCTCACATCACAAAAAAAGTGTCTCAGAAAGCTTCTGTCTAGATTTTATTTGTGGATATTTCCTTTTTCACCATAAGCCATAAACTGCTTAAGAAATCCCTTTGAAGATTCTACAAAAAGTCTGTTTCTAAACTGCTCAATCAAAATGATGGTTCAACAATGTGAGTCGAATGCACACATCACAAAGAAGTTTCACAGAAAGATTCTGTCCAGATTTTATTAGTGGATATTTCCTTTTTCACCATAAGCCTGAAAGGGCTCACAAATATCCCTTGGCAGAATCTTCAAAAAGACTGCTTACAAACTGCTCAATCAAAAGAAATGTTCAGCTCTGTGTGATGAATGCACACATCACAAAGAAGATTCTCAGAATCATTCTGTCTAATTTTTATGTAAAGACATTTCATTTTTCATGATAGGTGTCAACCGCCTACGTATATCCCTCTGCAGATTTTTCAAAAAGACTGTTTCCAAACTGCTCAATCAGAAGAAAGGTTCCACTCTGTGAGATGAATGCACACATCACAAAGAAGTTTCTCAGAAAGGTGTTGTCTAGTTTTTATGTGAAGACAATTCCTTTTTCACCATAAGCCTCAAAGCATTCACAAATTTCACTTTGCATATTCTACAAAAAGACTGTTTCAAAACTGCTCAATCCAAAGAAACTTTCAATTTTGTGAGTTGAATGCACACATCACCAAGACGCTTCTCAGAACTCTTCTGTCTAGATTTTATTTGTGGATATTTCCTTTTTCACCACAGGCCTCAAGCCGTTCAGAAATGTCCATTTCAGAATCTACAAAAAGACTGCTTCCAAACTGCTCAATCTAAAGAAAGGTTACACACTGTGAGATGAATGCACACAACACAAAGTAGTTTCTCCAAAAGTTTTGTCCGGTTTTCATGTGAAGATATTTCCTTTCTCACCATAGGCCTCAAACCACTCACAAATATCCCTTTGTAGATTCTCCATAAAGACTGTTTCCAAACTACAATGCACACATCACAAAGAAGTTTCTCAGAAAGCTTCTGTCTAGTTTTTATGTGAATATATTTTCTTTCTCACCATAGGCCTCAAACCACTCACAAATATCCCTTTGTAGATGCTCCATAAAGACTGTTTCCAAACTGCTCAATCAAAAGAAAATTTCAACTCTGTGTGATGAATGCACACATCACAAATAAATTTCTCAGAAATGTTCTGTCTAGTTTTTATGTGATGGTATTTCCTTTTTCACCATAGTCCTTAGGCCGCCTACATATATATATCCCTTTGCATATACTACAAAAAGACTGTTTCCAAACTGCTCAATCAAAAGAATGGTTCAACTCTGTGAGACGAATGCATATTTAAGCAAGAAGTTTCCCAGAAATTTTCTGTCTAGTTTTTATGTGAAGATATTTCCTTTTTCACCATAAGCCTCAAAGAGTTCACAAATATTTCTTTGCAGATTCTACGAAAAGACTGTTTCCAAACTGCTCAATCAAAACAAAGTTTCAACTTTGTGAGATGAATGCACACATCACAAGGAAGCTTCTCAGAAATTTTCTGTCTAGGTTTTATTAGTGATATGAAGATATTTCCTTTTTCACCATAAACCTCAAAGCACTCACAAATGTCCCTTTGAAGATTCTACATAAAGACTCTTTCCAAAATGCTCAATCAGAATAAAGGTTCAAATCTCCGAGATGAATGTACACATCTCCAAGAAGTTTCCCAGAATGCTTCTGTCTAGTTTTTAAGTGAAGATATTTCCTTTTTCACCATAAGCCTCTAAGCTTTCACAAACATCGCTTTGCAGATTCTACAAAAATACAGTTTCCAAACTGCTTCATCAAAAGGAAAGTTCAACTCTAAGATTAATGCACAAATCACAAAGAAGTTTCTCAGAAAGTTTCTGTCTAGATTTTATTTGTGGATATTTACTTTCTCACCATAGACATCAAACTGCTCACAAAAATCCCTTCACAGAATCTGCAAAAAGACTGTTTCCAAACTGCTCAATCAAAAGAAAGTTTTAACTCTGAGAGCCAAATGCTCACATCACACAGAAGTTTATCAGAAAGTTTCTGTCTAGTCTTAATGTGAGGATATTTCTGTTTTCACCATAAGCCTCAAAGTGTTCAAAAATATTCCATGCAGATTCTACAAAAAGAGTGTTTCCAAACTGCTCAATCAAAAGAATTGTTCAACTATGTGAGATGAATGTACATATCACAAAGAAGTTTCTCAGAACGCTTGTATCTAACATTTATGTGAAGATATTTTCTTTTTCACCATAGGCATCAAAGCGTTCACAAGCATCACTTTGCAGATTCTACAAAATGACTGCTTCCAAACTGCTCAATGAAAATAAAGGTCAAGCTCTGTGAGCTGAATGCACACATCACAATGAAGTATCTCAGAAAGCTTCAGCCTAATTTTTATGTGAAGATATTTCCTATTTCAACATAGGCCTCAGATGCACACTAATGTCCCTTTGCAGTTTCTAGAAAAATATTGTTTCCAAACTCCTCAATCAAAACAAAGGTTCAACTCTGTGAGATGAATGCAAACATCAAAAAGAAGTTTCTCATAAAGCTTCTGTCTACATTTTATTTGTGGATATTTCCTTTTTCACAGTAGGCCTCAAAGTGTTCACAAATGTCCCTTTGTAGATTCTACAAAAAGACTGTTTCCAAACTGCTAAACCAAAAGAAAGGTTCAACTCTATGAGGTGAACGCACACATCACAAAGAAGTTTCTCAGAAAGCTTCTGTCTATTTTTTATGTGAACATATTTCCCTTTTCACCATAAGCCTCAAAGCATAAACAAATATCACTTTGCAGATTCTACAAAAAGACTGCTTCCAAAGTGCTCCATCAAAACGAAGATTAAATTCTCTGAGATGAATGCACACATCATGAAGTAGTTTCTCAGAATGCTTCTGCCTAGTTTTTATGTGAAGATATTTCTTTTTCACCATAGGCCTCAGGCGCACACAAATGTCCTTATGCAGATTCTACAAAAACACAGTTTCCAAACTGCTCAATCAAAAGAAAGGTTCAACTCTGTGGGATGAATGCACACATCACAAAGAAGTATCTCAGAATGCTTCTGTCTAGTTTTAATGTGAAGATATTTCCTCTTTGACCACGTGCCTCAAACTGCCTACAATTATCCCTTTGTAGATTCTAGAAAAAGACTGTTTCCAAACTGCTCAATCAAAAGAAAGTTTCAACTCTGTGAGGTGCATGAACACATCACAAATAAGTTTCTCAGAAAGCTTCTGTCTAGTTTTTATGTGAAGATATTTCCTTTTTCACCATAGGCCTCAAACAGTCTACAAATACACCTTTGCAGAATCTACAAAAAGACTGTTTCCAAACTGCTCAATCAAAGCAAAGTTTCAAATCTGTGAGATGAATGCACACATCACAAAGAAGTTTCTCAGAATGTTTCTGTCTAGATTTTATTAGGGCAAATTTCCTTTTTCACCATAGGCCTCAAACCACTCCAAATATCCCTTGGCAGATCCTACAAAAATACTGTTTCCAAACTGCTCAATCAAAAGAAATTTTCAACTTTCTGTGATGAATGCACACATCAGAAACAAGTTTCTCAGTAGATTTCTCTCTGGTTTTTATGTGAAGATATTTCCTTTGTCACCATAAGTCTCAAAGCATTCACAAAAATCACTTTGCAGATTGTACAAAAAGACTTTTGCCAAACTGCTCAATGAAAAGAAAGGTTCAACTCTGTGACATGAAGGCACACATCATAAATAAGTTTCTCAGAAGGCTTCTCTCTAGTTTTTATGTGAAGATATTTCCTTTCTCACCGTAGGCCTCAAACCGTTCACAAATATCCCTCTGCATATTCTACAAAAAGACTGTTTCCAAAGTGCTCAATCAAACAAAAGGTTCAATTCTGTGATACGAATGCATGCATCACAAAGAAGTTTCTCAGAAATCTTCCATCTAGTTTTTATGTGAAGATATTTCTTTTTCATCATAGGCCTCAAACCACTCAAAAATATCCTTCTGCAGATTCAACAAAAATTCTGCTTCCAAACTGTTCAAAGGAAAATTTCAACTGTGTGAGATGAAAGCACACATCAAAAAGAAGTTTGTCAGAATTCTTCTGTCTAGTTTTTATGTGAAGATATTTATTTTTCAGCATAGGCCTCAAACCACTCAGAAATATCCCATTGCAGAAAGTATAAGAAGACTGTTTCCAAACTGCTCAATGAAAAGAAAGATTCAACTCTGTGACATGAATGCAAACATCACAAAAAGTTTCTCAAAAACCTTCTAACTAGTTTTTATGTGAAGATATTTCCTTTATCACGATAGGCCTCAATCTGCTCACAATATCCCTATGCAGATTCTACAAAAAGACTGTTTCCAAACTACTCAATCAAAAGAAAGGTTCAATTCTGTGAGATGAAATCAAACATCAGAAAAGAAGATGCTCAAAAAGTTTCTGTCTAGTTTTTATGTGAAGATATTTCCTATTTCACCATAGGCCTCAAAGGGCTCACAAATATCACTTCGCAGTTTCTAGAAAAAGACTGTTTCCAAACTGCTAAATCAAAAGAAAATTTCAACACTGTGAGACGAATGTATACTTCACAAAGAAGTTTCTCACAATGCTTCTGTCCGGCTTTTATGTGAATATTTGCTTTTTCTTCAGAGCCCTCAAACCGCTCATGAATATCCCTCTACAAATCCTTCAAAAAGACTGCTTCCAAACTGCTCAAACAAAACAAATGTTGAACTCTGTGAGATGAATGCACACATCATGAAGAAGTTTCTTAGAAAGATTCTGCCTAGTTTTTATGTGAAGATATTTCCTTGTTCACCATAGGCCTCAAAGCGCTCCAAATATCCAATTGCACATTCTACTAAAAGACTTTTTCCAAACTGCTCAATCAAAAGAGAGGTTCAACTCTGTGAGATGAAAGCACACATCATAAAGAAGTTTCTCAGAAACATCTGTCTAGTTAGTTTTTATGTGAAGATAGTTCCTTTTTCACCATAGGCCTCAAAGGGCTCACAAGCATCCCTTTGCAGATTATACAAAAAGACTTTTTCCAAACTCCTCAATCAAAAGAAATGTTCAAATCTGTAAGATGAATGCACACATCCCAAAGGAGACTCTCAGAATGCTTCTGTCTAGTTTTGGTATGAAAATATTTCTTTTTCAGCATAGGCCTCAAACCGCTCAGAAATATCCCTTTGCAGATTGTACAAAGAGACTGTTTCCAAACTGCTCAATGAAAAGAAAGGTTCAATTCTGTGACGTGAATGCAAACATTACAAAGAAGTTTCTCAGAATGCTTTGGTCTAGTTTTTATGTGAAGGTATTACCTTTTTCACCATAGGCCTCAAACTGCTCACAAATATCCCTTTGCAGATTCTACAAAAAGACTGTTTGTAAACTGCTCAATGAAAAGAAGCTTTCAACTGTGTGAGATAAAAGCACACATCATGAAGACGTTTCTCAGAATCTTTCTGTCTAGTTTTTAGGTGAAGATATTTCCTTTTTCTCCATAGGCCTCAAATCTCTCCAAATATCCATTTGCAGATTCTACAAAAAGATTGTTTCCAAACTGCTCAATCAAAAGAAAGGTTCAACTCTGTGATATGAAAGCACACATCACAAAGAAGTTTCTCAGAAAGCTTCTGTCTGATTTTATGTGTAGATATTTCCTTTTTCAGAATAGGCCTCAGAGGGCTCAGAATTATTCCTTGCAGATTCTACAAAAAGACTGTTTCAAAACGGCTCAATCAAAACAAAGTTTCAACTCTGTGAGAGGAATTTTTCCACCACTGCCCTCATAGTGTTACAAATATATATTTGCATATTCTATGAAGAGATTGTTTCCAAACTGCTCAATCAAAAGAAAGGTTCATCTCTGTGATATGAATGCACACATCACAAAGAATTTTCTTAGAAATCTTTTGTCTAATTTTTATTGGAAGATATTTCTTTTTCACCATAGGCCTCAAAGTGCTGCAAATATCTACTTGCAGATTCTATAAAAATACTGTTTCCAAACTGCTAAATCAAAGGAAAGTTCAACTGTGTGAGATGAATGCACACATCACAAAGAAGTTTCTCAGAAAGCTTCTGTCTAGTTTTTATGTGAAGCCAGTTCCTATTTCAACCTTGTCTCAATGTGCTCCAAATATCCATTTGCAGACTCTACAAAAAGACTGTTTCCAAACTGCTCAATCAAAAGAAAGGTTCAACTTTGTGAGATGAAAGAACACATCACAAAGAAGTTTCACAGAAAGCATCTGTCTAGTTTTTATGTGAAGATATTTCCCGTTTCACCACAGACCTCAAAGGGCTCAAAATTATCCCTTTCCAGATTCTACAGAAAACAGCTTCCCAACTGCTCAATCAAAATAAAGGTTCAACTCTGTGAGAGGAAAGCATACATCCAAAAGAAGTTTCTCAGAAAGCTTCTGTCTAGTTTTTATGTGAAGATATTTCCTATTTCACCGTAGGCCTCAATGGGTTCACAAATATCCCTTTGCATATTCTACAAAAAGACTGTTTCCAAACTTTTCAGTCAAAAGAAAGTTTTAACTCTGTGTAATGAGCGCACACATCAAAAAGATGTTTATGAGAATGCTTCTGTCTACTTTTCATGTGAAGATATTTCCTATTTCACCGTAGGCCTCAAAGTGCTCGCAAATATCCCATTGCAGATTTTATAAAAAGACTCCTTCCAAGCTCCTCTATCTAAAGAAAGTTTCAACTCTGTGAGATGAATGAACACATCACAAATAAGTTTCTCATAATGCTTCTGTCTAGTTTTTATGTGAAGATATTTCTTTTTCACCATAGGGCTCAAACCGCTCCGAAATATCCCTTTGCATATTGAACAAAAACATTATTTCCAAACTGCTCAATGAAAAGAAAGGTTCAACTCTGTGAGTTGAATGCAAATATCATAAAAAAAGTTTCTCAGAAAGCATCTGTCTAGTTTTCATGTGAAGATATTTCCTTTTTCATCATAGGCCTCAAAGCCCACTAAATATCCTTTTGCAGATTATATGAAAAGACTGTTTCCAAACTGCTCAATCCAAAGAATGGTTCAACTCTCTGAAATGAAAGAACACACCACAAAGAAGTTTCTCAGAAAGCTTCTGTCTAGTTTTTATATGAAGATATTTCCTGTTTCACCATAGACCTCAAAGGGCTCTCAAGTATCCCTTTGCAATTCTGTGAAGAAAGTCATTGGTATCTTGATGCAGATGGCATTGAATCTATAAATTACCTTGGGCAGTATGGCCATTTTCACTATATTGATTCTTCCTACCCATGAGCAAGGAATGTTCTTACATTTCTTTGTATCCTCTTTTATTTCATTGAGCAGTGGTTTGTAGTTCTCCTTGAGGAGGTTCTTCATGTCCCTTGTAAGTTGGATTCCTAGGTATTTTATTCTCTTTGAAGCTATGCAGCCATAAAAAATGATGAGTTCATGTCTTTGTAGGGACATGGATGAAATTGGAAATCATCTTTCTCAGTAAACTATCACAAGAACAAAAAAACAAACACCGCATATTCTCACTCATAGGTGGGAATTGAACAATGAGAACACATGGACACAGGAAGGGGAACATCACACTCTGGGGACTGTTGTGGAGTGTGGGGAGGGGGGAGGGATAGCATTAGGAGATATACCTAATGCTAAATGACAACTTAATGGGTGCAACACACCAGCATGGCACATGTATACATATGTAACTAACCTGCACATTGTGCACATGTACTCTAAAACTTAAAGTATAATAATAATAAAATAAAAATAAAAATAAAAATAAATAAAAAATAAGAAAAAAAATACCTTTGCAGATTCCACAAACAGACTGTTTCCCAACTGCTCAATCAAAAGAAATGTTCAACTCTGTGAGATGAAAGCACACATCACAAAGCTGTTTCGCATAAAACTTCTGTCTAGTTTTCATGTGAAGATATTTCCTATTCCACCATAGGCCTCAAAGGGCCCACAAATATCCCTTTGCAGATTCTACAAAAATACTGTTTCCAACTGCTCAATCAAAAGAAAGGTTCAACTCTTTGAGATAAGTGCACACATCACAAAAAAGTTTCTCGGAATGCTTCTGTATAGTTTTTATGTGAAGATATTTCTTTATCTCCATAGACCTCAAAACGCTCAGATATATCCCACTGCAGATACTATGAAAAGACTGTTTCCAATCTGCTCAATCAAAAGAAAGCTTCTATGCTGTGAGAAGAAAGAACCCATTATAAGGAAGCTTCTCAGAATGCTTCTGTCTAATTTTCTGTGAAGATATTTCCTTTTTCACCATAGGCCGCAAACCTCTCACAAATATCCCTCTGCAGATAGTACAAAAAGACTCTTTCTGAACTGTGCATTCACAAGAAAGGTTCTACTCTGTGAGATTAATACACACGTCAGAAATAAGTTTCTCAGAATGTTCTGTCTAGTTTTTATGTGAATATATTTCCTATTTCACTTTAGGCCTCAAAGGGCTGAAAAATATCCCTTTGCAGATTGTACAGTAAGACTGTTTCAGAACTGATCAATGAAAAGAAAGGTTCAACTTTGTGCAAGGAATGGACACATCACAAAGAAGTTTCTCAGAGTGCATCTGTCTAGTTATTATGTGAAGACATTTCTTTTACACCATAGGCCTCAAACCGCTCAGCAATATCCTGTTGCAGATTGTACAAAAAGACTGTTTCCAAACTGCTCCATCAAAACAAAGGTTCAACACTGTGAGATGAATGCACACTCTCTTTCTGAGAAACAAAGACTTTTCTCAGAACGCTTCTGTTTAGTTTTTATGTGAAGATATTTCCTTTTTCACCATAGGCCCCAAAGCGCTCCAAATATCCCTTTGCAGATTCTACAAAAAGAGTGTTTCCAAACTGCTCAATCAAAAGAAAGATTCAACTCTGGGAGATGAATGCAAACATCACAAAGTAATTTCTCAGAATGCTTCTGTGTAGTTTTCATGTGAAGATATTTCCTTTTTCACCATAGGCCTTAAACTGCTAACAAATATCCCTCTGCACATAACACAAAAAGAGTGTTTCCAAACTGCTCAATCAAAAGAAAGGTTCAACTCTGTGACATGAAAGCACTCATCAAAAATAAGTTTCTCAGAAAGCTTCTGTCTAGTTTTTATGTGAAGATATTTCATATTTCACCATAGGCCTCAATGGGCTTAGAAATATGCCTTTGCAGATTGTCCAAAAAGACTCTTTCCAAACTGCTCAATCAAAGAAAAGGTTCAACATGTGAAGTGAAAGTGTACATCACAAAGAAGTTTCTCAGACGGTTTCTTTCTAGTTTTAATGTGAAGATATTTCCTTTTTCACCATATACCTCAGTGGGCTCAAAAATATCCCTTTGCAGATCCTACAAAAGGCCTCTTTCCAAACTGCTCTAACAAAGGAAAGTTTCAACTCTGTGAGATGAAAGCACACATCACAAATAAGTTTCTCAGAAAGCTTCTGTCTAGTTTTTATGTGAAGATATTTCCTATTTCACCTTAGGCCATAAAGGGATAACAAATATCCCTTTACAGAATCTACAAAAAGACTGTTTCCAAACTTCTCCATCAAAAGAAAATTTCAACTCTATGAGATGAATGGATACATCACAAAGTACTTTCTCAGAAAGCTTCTGTCTAGTTTTTATGTGAAGATATTTCTTTTTTACCATAGGCCTCAAACGTCTAAGAAATATCCCTTTGCAGATTGGACATAAAGACTGTTTCCAAACTGCTCAATCAAAAGAAAGTTTCAATTCTGTAAGAAGAAAACACACATCACAAAGAAGTTTCTTAGAAAGCTTCTGTCTAGTTTTTATGTGAAGACATTTCCTATTTCACCATAGGCCTCAATGGGCTCACAAATATCCCTTTGCAGATTCTACAAAAGGACTCTTTCCAAACTGCTCAATCCAAGGAAAGTTTCAACCCTGTGACATGAATACACACATCACAAAGAAGTTTCTCAGAATGCTTCTGTCTAGTTTTTATGTGAAGATATTTCCTCTTCACCATAGGCCTAAAACGCTGTAAATATCCACTTGCAGATTCTACAAAAGACTGTTTCCAACCTGCTCAATCAAAGAAAAGTTCAACTCTGTGAAATGAAAGCACACATCACAAAGAAGTTTCTCATAAAGTTTCTGTCCAGTTTTTATGTGAAGATATTCCCTATTTAACCATAGGCCTGAAAGGGCTCACAAATATCCTTTTGCATCTTCTACAAAAAGTCTGTTTCCAAACTGCTCAATCAAAAGAGAGGTTCAAATATGTGTAATGAATGCACACATCACAAAGAAGTTCCTCAGAATGCTTTTGTCTAGTTTTTTTTTTTTTTTTTTTTTTGAGATGGAGTCTCGCTCTGTGGCCCAGGCGGGAGTGCAGTGGCGCAATCTCGGCTCACTGCAAGCTCCGCCTCCCGGGTTCACGCCATTCTCCTGCCTCAGCCTCCCGAGTAGCTGGGACTACAGGCGCCCACCATCATGAGAATATTTTTTTCTTTCACCATAGGCCTCAAATGGCTCAGAAATATCCCTTTGCAGATTGTACAAAAAGACTGTTTCCAAACTGCTCAATAAAAAGAAAGTTTCAACACTGTGAGATGAATGCACACATCATAAAGAAGTTTCTCAGAAAGCTTCTGTTTAGCTTTCATGTGAAGATATTTCCTTTTTCACCATAGGCCCCAAAGCGCTCCAAATATCCCTTTGCAGATTCTACATAAGGACTGTTTAGAAAACTGCTCAATCCAAAGAAGGTTCAACTCTGTGAGATGAATGCATACATCTGAAAGAAGTTTCTCACAACGGATCTGTCGAGTTTTTTTGTGAAGATATATCGTTTTTAATCATAGGCCATAAACTGCTCATGAATATCCCTCTGCAGATACTACAAAAAGACTGTTTCCAAGCTGCTGCATCCAAAGAAATGTTCAACTCTGTGAGATGAATACACCCACCACAAAGAAGTTTCTCAGAATGCTTCTGTCTGGTTTTTATGTGAAGATATTTCCTTTTTCACCATAGGCCTCAAAGTGCTCCAAATATCCACTTACAGACTCTACAAAAAGTGTTTCCAAACTTCTCAATCCAAAGAAAGGTTCACCTGTGTGAGTTGAATGCACACATCACAGAGAAGTTTCCCAGAATGCTTCTGTCTAGTTTTTATGTGATGGTATTTCCTTTTTCACCATAGGCCTCAAACCGCTCACAAATATCCCTCTGCAGATACAACAAAAGGACAGTTTCCAACCTGCTAAATCAAAAGATATGCTCAACAACGTGAGAAGAATGCACATGTCACAAAGAAGTTTCTCAGAATACTTCTGTCTAGTTTTAATGTGAAGATATTTACTTTTTCACCATAGGCTCCAAAGCACTCCAAACATCCATTTGCAGATTCCACAAAAAGACTGTTTCCAAACTGCTCAATCAAAAGAAAGGTTCAACTCTGTGAGATGAAGGCACACATCAAAAAGAAGTTTCTAAGAAAGCTTCTGTCTAGTTTTTATGTGAGGATATTTTCTATTTCACCACAGGCCTCAATAGACTCACAAATATCCGTATCAGATTCTACAAAAAGACTGTTTCCGAACTCCTCAATGAATAGAAAGTTTCAAATCTGTGAGGTGAATGCACACATAAAAAAGAAGTTTCTCACAATGCTTCTGTCTAATTTTTATGTGAAGATACTACTTTTTCACCATAAACCTCAAACCGCTCAGAAATATCCCTCTGCAGATTGTACAAAAAGACGTTTCCAAACTGCTCAATAAAAAGAAAGATTCATCTCTGTGAGATAAATGCACAAATAATAAAGAAGTTTTTCAGAATGCTTCTGTCTAGTTTTTATGTGAAGATATTTCCTTTTTCACCATAGTCCTTAAAGCGCTCACAAATATCTCTCTGCAGATACTACAAAAAGACTGTTTCCAAACTGCTCCATGAAAAGAAAGGTTCAACTCTGTGAGATGAATGCACACATCACAAAAAATATTCTCAGAATGATTCCATCTAATTTTTATGTGAAGATAATTCTTTTTCACCATAGGCATCAAACGGCTCAGAAATATACATTTGCTGATTGTACAAAAAGACTGTTTCCAA
This sequence comes from Homo sapiens, assembly GCF_000001405.40. Classification (NCBI taxonomy): domain Eukaryota; kingdom Metazoa; phylum Chordata; class Mammalia; order Primates; family Hominidae; genus Homo; species Homo sapiens. The sequence goes on from NC_000020.11 coordinate 29,287,505, forward strand.
TCTGCTCAATCAAAAGAAAGGTTCAGCTCTGTGATATGAATCCACGCATCACAAAGAACTTTCTCAGAAAGCTCCTTTTTAGTGTTTTGTGAAGATATTTCCTTTTTCACCATACGCCTAAAAGCACTGCAAATATCCATTTGTGGATTCTACAAAAAGACTGTTTTGAAACTGCTCAATCAAAAAAAAAAAGTTCAAATCTGTGAGATGAAAGCACACATCACAAAGCATTTTCTCAGAAAGATTCTGTCTAGTTTTTATGTGAAAGTATTTCCTATTTCATCATAGGTTGTAAAGGGCTCACAAATATCCGTTTGCATATTCTAAAAATAGACTGTTTCCAAACTGCTCAAACAAAAGAAATGTTCAACTCTGTGAGATGAATGCACACATCAGAAAGAAGTTTCTCAGGATGCTTCTGTCGAGTTTTTATGTGAAGATATTTCTTTTTCACCTTAGGCCTCAAACGGCTCAGAAATATCCCTTTGCAGATTTTACAAAAAGACTGTTTCCAAACTGCTCAATCAAAAGAAAGTTTCAACACTGTGAGAAGAATGCACACATCACAAGGAAGTTTCTCAGAAAGCTTCTGTTTTCTTTTTATTTGAAGATATTTCCCTTTTCACCATAGGCCTCGATGGGCTCAGAAATATCCCTTTGCAGATTCTACAAAAGGACTGTTTAGAAAACTGCTGAATCCAAAGAAAGATTCAACTCTATGAGATGAATGCACATATCACAAAGAAGTTTATCAGAATGCATCTGTCCAGTTTTTATGTGAAGATATTTCCTTTTTCACCATAGGCCTCAAAGCCCTCCAAATACCCATTTGCAGATTCTACAAAAAGAGTGTTTCCAAAATGCTCAATCAAAAGAAAGGTTCAACACATGACGCAAAAGCACACCTCACAAAGAAGTTTCTCAGAAAGCTGACTAGTTTTTATGTGAAGATATTCCCTATTTCACCATGGGCCATATAGGGCTCACAAATATTTTTTGCAGATTCTACAAAAAGACTGTTTGCAAACTGCTCAATCCAAAGAAAGTTTCAACTCTGTGAGATGAATGGACACATCACAGAAAAGTTTATCAGAATGCTTCTGTCTAGTTTTTATGTGAAGATATTTTTTTCACCCTATCCTTCAATGGGCTCAGAAATATCCCATTGAAGATTCTACAAAATGACTGTTTGCAAACTGCTCCATCAAAGAAAAGTTCACCTCTATCAGATGAATGCACACATCACAGAGATGTTTCTCAGAATGCTTCTGTCTAGTTTTTATGTGAAGGTATTTCCTTTTTCACCATAGGTCTCAAAGCACTCCAAACATCCATTTACAGATTCCACAAAAAGACTGTTTCCAAACTGCTCAATCAAAAGAAAGGTACAACTCTGTGAGGTGAAAGCACACATCACAAAGAAGTTTCTCAGAAAGTTTCTGTCTAGTTTCTCTGTGAGGATAATTCCTGTTTCACCATGGGCCATAAAGGGCTCACAAATATTTTTTTGCAGATTCTACAAAAAGATTGTTTCCAAAGTGCTCAATCCAAAGAAAGGTTCAACTCTGTGAGATGAATGGACACAACACAAAGAAGTTTCTCAGAATGCTTCTGTCTAGTGTTTATGTGAGATATTTCCTTTTTCACCATAGTCCTCAAAACATTCCAAATATCCATTTGCAGATTCTACAAAAAGACGTTTCCAAATTGCTCAATGAAAAGAAAGTCTCAACTCTGTGAGGTGAAAGCACACATCACAAAGAAGTTTCTCAGAATGTATCTTTCTAATTTTTTTGTGAAGATATTTCCTTTTTCACCATAGGCCTCAAACCACTCCAAGTATCCATTTGCAGATTCTACTAAAAGACTGTTTACAAACTGCTAAATCAAAAGAAAGGTTCAGCTCTGTGATATGAATGCACACACCACAAGGAAGTTTCTCAGAAACCTTCAGTTTAATGTTTACCTGAAGATATTTCCTTTTTCACCATAGGCCTCAAAGCACTCCGAATGTGCATTTCCAGGTTCTACAAAAAGTCTGTTTCCAAATTGCTCAATGAAAAGAAAGGTTCAATTCTGTGAGATGAAAGTACACCTCACAAAGAAGTTTCTCAGAATGTTTCTTTCTAGTTTTTTTGTGAAGATATTTTCTTTTTCACCATTGGCCTCAAAGCACTACAAATATCCATTTGCAGATTCTACAAAAAGACGTGTACAAACTGCTCAATCAAAAGAAAGTTTCAACACTGGGAGATGAATGCATGCATTACAAAGTAGTTTCTCAGAAAGCTTCTGTTTAGTTTTTACGTGAAGATATTTCCTTTTTCACCATAGGTCTCAAAGAGCTTCAATTATCCATTTGCAGATTCTGCAAAAAGAGTGCTTCCAAACTGCTCAATCAAAAAAAAAACGCTCAAACCTTTGAGATGAAAGCACTCATTTAAAAGAAGTTTCTCAGAAAGCTTCTGTCTAGCTTTTATGTGAAGATATTTCCTATATCACCAAAGGCATCAATGTGCTCAGAATTATCCCTTTGGGGATTCTACAAAGGAGTATTTCCAAACTGCTCTAGCAAAAGAAAGCTTCAACTCTGTGAGATGAATGCACCCATCACAAAAAAGTTTCTCAGACTGTTTCTGTGTAGTTTTTATATGAAGATATTTCCTACTTCACCATAGGCCTCAAAGGGTTAACAATTATCCCTTTGTAGATTTTACAAAAATACTGTTTCCAAATCTTCAATCAAAGAAATGTTCAACTGTGTGAGATGAATGCAAACGTCACAAAGAAGTTTCTCAGAATGCTTCTGTCTGATTTTTATGTGAAGATATTTCCTTTTTCACCATAAGCCTCAAAGCGCTCCAAATATCCATTTTCAGGTTGTACAAAAAGACTGCTTCCAATCTGCTCAATCGAAGGAAATGTTCAACTCTGTGAGATGAAAGCACACATCACAGAGAAGTTTCTCACAAAGCTACTGTTTAGTTTTTATGTGAAGATATTTCCTATTTCACCATTGGCCATAAAGGGCTCACAAATATACCTTTGCAGTTGCTACAAAAATACTGTTACCAAACTGCTCAATCAAAAGAAAGTTTCAACTCTGTGAGATGAATGGACACATCACAAAGTAGTTTCTAAGAATGCTTCTGTCTAGTTTTTGTGGGAAGATATTTCTTTTTCACCATAGGCCTCAAACGGCTCAGAAATATCCCTTTGCAGATTGTAGAAAAAGACTGTTTCCAAACTGCTCCATGAAAAGAAAGGTTAAACTCTGTGAGATGAAATCTCTCATCACAAAGAAGTTTCTCAGAATGCTTCTGTCTAGTTTTTATGTGAAGAAGTTTCCTTTTTCACCATAGGCCTAAACTGCTCCAAATATACATTTGTTTATTCTATGAAAAGACAGTTTCCAACTGCTCAATCAAAAGAATAGTTCAACTCTGTGAGATGAATGCACACATCACAAAAAAAGTTTCTCAGAAAGCTTCCATTTAGTTTTTATGTGAAGATATTTCCTTTTTTACCATGGGCCTCAAAGCACTCCAAATATCCATTTGCAGATCCTACAAAAAGAGTGTTTACAAACTGCTCAATCAAAAGAGAGGTTCAACTCTGTGAGACGGAAGCACACATCACAAATAAGTTTCTTAGAAACCTTCGGTCTAGTTTTTATGGGAAGATATTTCATATTTCACCATAGTCCTCAATGGGCTCAGAAATATACCTTTGCAGATTCTTCAAAAGGATTGTTTCCAAACTGCTCAATCCAATGAAAGGTTCAAAACTGTGAGATGAATTCACACATCACAAAGAAGTTTCTCAGAAAGCTTCTGTCTAGTTTTTATGTGAAGATATTTCCTTTTTCACCATAAGCCTCAAACCACTCACAAACATCCCTCTGGAGATATTACAAAAACACTGTTTCCAAACTGTTCAATAAAAAGAAAGGTTCAGCTCTGTGTGGTAAATGCACATGTCACTGAGAAGTTTCTCAGAATGTTTCTATCTACTTTTAATGTGAAGATATTTCCTTTCTCAGCAAGGCTTCAAACTGCTCCAAATATCCATTTGCATATTCTACAAAAAGATGGTTTCCAAACTCCTCAATGAATAGAAAGGTTCAACTCTGTGAGATGAAATCGCACATCACAAAGAAGTTTCATGGAATGTTGCTTTCTAGTTTTTATGTAAAGATATTTCCTTTTTCACCATAGTCCTCAAAGTGCTCCAAATATCCATTTGCAGATTATACAAAAAGTGTGTTTCCAAACTGCTCAATCAAAAGAAAGGTTCAACTTCGTGAGATGAAAGCACACATCACAAAGAAGTTTCTCAGAAATGTTCTGACTAGTTTTTATGTTAAGATAGTTCCTATTTCACCATAGGCCTCAATGGGCTCAAAAATATCCCTTTGCAGATTCTACAAAATGTCTGTTTTGAAACTCCTCAATCAGAAGAAAGGTTCAACTCTGTGAGATGAATGCATACATCACAAAGATGTTTCTCAGAATGCTTCTGTCTAGTTTTTATATGAAGATATTTCCTTTTTCACCATAGGCCTCAAAGCGCTCCAAATATCCATTTCCATATTCTACAAAAAGACTGTTTCCAAACTCCTCAATCAAAAGAGAGATTCAGCTCTGTGGGATGAAAGCACACTTCACAAAGTAGTTTCTCAGAATGCTTCTGTCTAGTTTTTATGTGAATATATTTCCTATTTCACTTTAGGCCATAAAGGGCTCACAAATATCCCTCTGCAGATTCTAGAAAATTCTAAAAAAGGACTCTTTCCAAACTGCTCAATCAAAAGAAAGGTTCAACTCTGTGAAATGAATGCACACATCACAAAGAAGTTTCTCAGAAAGCTTCTGTCCAGTTTTTATGTGAAGATGTTTCCCTTTTCACCATACCTATCAACGCGCTCAAAATAGCCCTTTGCAGATTCTCTGAAAAGACTGTTTCCAAACTTCTCATTCAAAAGAATGGTTCAACTCTGTGAGATGAATGCACATATCACAAAGAAGTTTCTCTGAAATCTTCTGTCTAGTATTTATGTGAAGATATTTCTTTTTTCACCATAGTCCTCAAGCTGCTCACAAATATCCCTTTGCAGATTTTACGAGAACAGAGTTTCCAGACTCATCAAAGAATATAAACTTTTATCTCTGTGAGTTGAATGCACACCTTGCAAAACAGCTTCTCAGAAATATTCTTATAGTTTTTATTGAAGATATTTCCTTTTTCACCATAAGCCTCAGAGAGCTGACAAATATCTCTTTGCTGATTCTACAAAAATACTGTTTCCAAACTGCTCAATTGAAAGAATCGTTCAACTCTGTGAGACGAACGCACACATAGCCAGGAATTTTCTCAGAAACTTCTGTCACGTTTTTATGCGATGATATTTCCTTTTTCTGCAGATTTTACAAGAAAATCCCTTTGCAGATTTTACAAGAAAAGAGTTTCCCATCTGCTAAATGAAAAGAAACGTTTACCTCTGTGAGATGAATGCACACATTGCAGAGCAGTTTCTCAGAAACCTTCTGTCTAGTTTTTATGTGAAGATATTTCCTTTTTCACCACAGGCCTCAAAGTGCTCACAAATATCCCTTTGCATATTCTACAAAAAGACTGTTTCTGAACTGCTCAATCAAAGGAATTGTTCAACTCTGTGAGATGAGTGCACACATCACAAAGAAGTTTCTCAGAATGCTTCTGTCTAGTTTTCATGTGAAGATATTTCCTTTTTCACCATAAGCCTCAAAGTGTTCACAAATATCCCTTTGCAGATTCTTCAGAAAGACTGTTTCCAAAATGCTCAATCAATAGAAAGGTTCAACTCTGTGAGATGCATTCACACATCACAAAGGAGTTTCTCAGAAACCTTCTTTCTAGTTTTTATGTGAAAATATTTCCTCTTTCACCATAGGCTTCAAAGCGCTCACAAATATCTCTTTGCAGATTCTACAAAAAGACTGTTACCAAACTACTCAATCAAAAGAATGGTTCAACTCTGAGATGAATGCACACATCACAAAAAAGTTTCTCAGAAAGCTTCTGTCTAGTTTTTATGTGAAGATATTTCCTTTTTCACCATTGGCCTCCAAGTGCTCACAAATATCTCTTTGCCAATTCTACAAAAATACTGTTTTCTAACTGCTCAATCCAAAGAATATTTCAACTCTGTGAGATGAATGCACACATAACCAGGAAGTTTCTCAGAAACTTCTGTGAAGTTTTTATGCGATGATATTTCCTTTTTCAACATAGGCCTCAAACTGCTCACAAATATCCCTTTGTGGATTCTATCAGAACAGAGTTTCCAATCTGCTCAATGAAAAGAAACATTAACCTCTGTGAGATGAACCCACACATCACAAAGCAGTTTCTCATAAACCTTCTTTCTAGTTTTTATGTGAAGCTATTTCCTTTTTCACCATAGGCTTCATAGCGCTCACAAATATCCCTCTGCAGATTCTACAAGAACACCGTTTCCAAGCTTTTCAATCAAAAGAATGGTTTAACTCTGTGAGATGAATGCACACGTCACAAAGTAGTTTCTCAGAAAGCTTCTGTCTAGTTTTTATGTGAAGATATTTCCTTTTTCACCATAGACCTCAAAGCACTCACAAATATCACTTTGCAGATTGCACAAGAACTGAGTTTCCAGACTGATTAAAGGAATGAAACGTTTAACTCTGTGAGATGAATGCAGACATCACAAAGCAGTTTCTCAGAAACCTTCTTTATAGTTTTTATGTGAAGGTATTTCCTTTTTCACCATGGCCTCAAAGCACTCACAAATATCCCTTTGCAGATTCTACAACAACAGAATTTCCAAACTGCTCATAATTAATTTTTAGCACCAACATGAGCATTTAGACACACTGCTTGTGGTGCAGCACACATGTATTATCCACACTGAAATTAGGAATTCAACTGAAGTTCATGTGGAGCCGAAAATGTGAATATTTGGGGGACCTTGGAGATGATCTATCTCACTTTATTTTTTAGAAAAGAAAACAGATTCAGGGAAAGGGCACGCATTGCTTAAGGTGATTCAGCAGCTTTGGCGCAGAAACACAACACACCTAAGGTGATTCATCAGGTTTGGAGCAGAAACACAATACAATCTCTGTTCTTTTGTGTCTCAGATCCAGAATTTTTTCACAATACTGAACTACTTATGTTTCTGATTCCTTATTTTTTCTTTTTAAGTTTTGCCAGTATTGTCTTATGAAGATCCTATTCTTTATCCTAAATATTTAAATTCGTTACCACTATTGTCTCTTTATAAGTAAAATTACTAGTTATTATTATAAATGATTATTCAATCACTTTTCATTTTTTGGTGGTCCAGTACAAAGCTAGTAACAAATAAACACTATTGGCCTTGGCAATCCAAGAGGAGCTCAAGTCTTCCAGGGCACGTCAGGAAAAGGCTAAATGACAGCTGTGCTGCGAGTGGACAGAATACAGCTCTCATACACATTGTTGAGTATTTGATGTTCTTCAACAATTTCATTAATCTTCAGTTTTTTCCTCTTTGAAGTGAAAGTCTGCTATGACTTTCAAATTTCTTTTGAAATAATTATAGATTCACAGGAAGTTGCAAAATGTACAGGGATGTCTTAGGTACTCTTCACTAATTCCAGTGGTGACATCTCGCATAGCCATAGAGCATTATCAAAACCTGGAAACTGACATACGTACAATTCAGAAAGTTTACTCAGATCGCAACCGTTTGTATACATTCATTTTTGTATGTGTGTATGTGTGTGCGTGTGTTCTGTGCATTTTTATGTGGTGTAGATCTCTGTAACTACCACTTCCACAGTCAAGATACAGAACTGTAGCCTCACCACCAGGCTCCAACTTGTGATCTTTGCTGACACTCTGACACTTTTTCCTCCACACCTTCCCCTTGGCAACCCCATAGTCTGTTCTCCATCTTTACAATTTTATTTCAATAATTTATATAAATGTAATTGTACAAAATCGAATCTTTAAAGGGAAAAACAAGTCACAGATAGTTTTGTAAGTGCTGTAAAATAGTGTTTAACATTCATTTGTTATATGTTCTATTTGTCTCAAAAAAATGTGCTTTGTTCTTTCCCATACTTTCTGATATCAGGATAGGAAATCAATACCAAACAATACAATTCCATTCATTTTTTTCCACAGCTTGGTTTTCACTGTTGTTGCCTAACATTTATTTTTCCATTTACTCTTTCTCTCTGTTTTCCATCACATAAAAGTAACTTTGTGTTCTTTATCTCTTCTAAGAAAACTTGGTAATGAGTCTTTAATGTGACGCCTGGACCACCCTTGTTTTGATTTTGTGTTATGGGTATTCTTTTGTGTGATCGTTCTCATGGAGAGTTCTTGTGAAGCTGGGCTTTTCCAGTGGTTTGTCAAAATGGAAATAGATATTTAACAAACCAAACACAAAATGACCTTGCTCCAGAAATGCATCATTTCGGAGAAAACACTACCTCTTCCAACTAGAGATTGTGAATATTACTCATGTTATCCTTTACTCCCTTTTATTAAAACTGTAGTTTTTTACACATTTGTATAACTCAGGTAATGAAATGTGAAACTAAGTGATTGCCTAACAATTATAATTGATGTTAACGATGCTACCGGGAGGCCACCCCTACAGTGGCTGTGCCAAGTCTATGTACTTGCTAGCTTTGCTAAGTTACATGGGATTGCCTATGTACTAAATGTAGGTGGGGGACTGGTCTGAGGATGCGGCAGTGCCACCCTGCCCCAATGTCGAAGCTCTGGATGGGGCGCCAGGCACCGTGCGGTCAAGAGATGGAGGCGGGCGCGTGATGGCGGACGACACCGCAGCGCCCAGGGGGTCACTGCCAGGGGCAAACGAACCCTGGGACCACGGCCAGGAATGCTGTCAGACGGGCCGTGCAGTGGGCTTTCAGTCCCGGACACACCGCGTCACATGCCGGGCAGGCGAGGGGCAGGCTGGCGAGGAGGACTGTGCCTCAGAGGGGTGTTGGGGAGGAGGGGCGCTGGAGCGGTGGTCGGCCAGTCGCCAGGCCGCCACCAGGGGCAAGCGGTGAACTGCGGCGACGGGGACATGCTCCCCAACCCTCTCCCCGGTGGACCCTTCCTACTTGCCTTCCCGCCCAACTAGCCCCCACCACTGATGACACACGATGACGATGATGGCATGGGACCTTTCACCCCACCAGGGTCAACAAACCCTGCACAACGAGTTGTGTGAGGCACGAGGGAGCCCCCGAGGGAGGAAACCGGACCGCGTTGGTGGCCAAGGGAACTCGACCCCAGCCAGCTCTATTCCCTCTATGTTTTCGCGGGTGGTGGTGCCGCCCTCTCTCTCTTCCTCACAGCCAGGAGCCCCCCTTCCCCACGCCACCCAACGCGTGACCACACCGGGCCTGTGAGGGGAGGGGGAAGGGGCAGGCACAGCAGGAGAGGAGGGCAGACATCACCGGTCTGCACTTGGGAGGACGGAGGGCACCGACGTGCCCTGCCACGGAACCCGCAACCGTGCACCCTGAGGATCCCGGAGGCACCCCCAGGGGCTATTGATTGGCAAGTGACACTCAGACAGGCATAACCCTGGGAGGAACCCGGGCCACAAGTCCATTCAAAGTGTCAATGATCAATGTGCCCTGCAATTCACATTAATTCTCACAGCTAGCTGCATTCTTCATCAATGCAGAAGCTGAGTGATCCACCGCTAAAAGTCATACAAGGTCAATTTGGCTAGGGTGCTCCCAACAATGTGAGGCCCACCTGGCACAGCACGTCCTCCAGAGGGGTTACCTCAGACCGGCCAGTCAGACAGCAAGGGGATGAGCCTCCAGAAAGGGGTCAGAAGGTTTCACAACACAGGGAGGTGGTGCCAACCACGGGGGTTGGGGGGGGCGAATGCTGACACCACCCTACGGGCACCAAGGGGTTCCTGCCCCCACAGCGTGGGGCACAAGCCACATGCGCAGCATGCACGCGATAGCGTGACGGCCACTGGGAAAAGCCCATACCAGCGTCAGCGGCGACACGCGAGAGCGGCACAGCCCCGGCCGGCCGGGGAGACGGAGTCGGCGGGGGAGGTGATGGAGGGGCGGGCCCCTCCCGAATGGACTCCCCCGTGCGCCCACGACACCCGACCCACAGATGGACAGGTGACCCCCCAAGGGGTCCTTAAAACTCCGCTCCAGAACGCACTAGGTACCTGGATGGCAGGGGCGGACAAGGAGCGGGGTACTGGCGTCCGGCCCCCTACCCTCGAGAAGCCCTAGTGGGAAGGCTGGGGAGAGCCAGCGGGCCGGGCCGAGCCCAGTGGCGCGGTGTGGCAGAGGCGATGATGGTGCCAGTGGCAGCGATGGGAACCCGGCCAGCCCCGACAGGAGCAGGCAAGATGGGGCCGAGCCGGCAGGACAGGGCGGGACGACGGCCTCGGCAGGGAGGGCACAGAGACCCACACCCCACCGTGACGCTGAGAACCACCCCGTGCCTGCCAACACACACGTGGGGGCCATGGCAGGGGACCGCTCCCCACTGCTCACCAGGCCGGCGAGCCATCCAGCCCACCCCACGACACGCACACACAGTTTCGTCCCCGCACGCGTGTCTCTCTCTACCCCCTCTCTCCCTCCCGAGTTCTCCTGCTCTCGGGGCAGGCGGGGCCGTGCAACAAACAAAGGGCACAACCCCACCAGCACACGTGCTGCACGGGGAACACGGTCGGCCAAGGAGGAAGGACACGTTGGCGCCTCTGTGGCTTCATTCTGCTCCGTTAATGATCCCTCCACAGGTTCACCTACAGAAACTTTGTTACGACTTTTACTTCCTCTAGATAGTCAAGTTCGACTGTCTTCTCAGTGCTCGGCCACGGCAGTGGGCTGACCCGGCGGGGCTGCTCTGAGGGCCTCACTAAACCATCCAATCAGTAGTAGCAACTGGCGGTGTGTACAAAGGGTAGGGACTTCACACAAGCCTATGACCCACACTTACTGGGAATTCCTCGTTCATGGGGAATAATTGCAATCCCCGATCACCATCACCAATGGTATTCAACAGGTTACCCACGTCTGCCACGTATGGTAGGCACACGCTGAGCCAGTCAGTGTAGCGCACGTGCAGCCCCGGACATCTAAGGGCATCACAGACCTGTTATTACTCAATCTCGGGTGGCTGAATGCCACTTATCCATCTAAGAAGTTGGGGGACACCGACCGCTTGTGGGTCACGTAATTAGTTAGCATGCCAGAGTCTCGTTCGTTATCGGAATTAACCAGACAAATAACTCCACCAGCTAAGGCCATGCACCACCACCCATGGAATTGAGAAGGAGCTATCAGTCTGTCAATCCTGTCTGTGTCTGGGCCGGGTGAGGTTTCCCGTGTTGAGTCAAATTAAGCCACAGGCTCCACTCCTGGTGGTGCCCTTCCACCAATTCCTTTAAGTTTCAGCTTTGCAACCATACTCCCCCCGGGAACCCAAAAACCCAAAGACTTTGGTTTCTTGGAAGCTGCCCAGTGGGTCATGAAAATAACACTGCCGCACGCATCGCCAGTCGGCATCTTTTATGGTCGGAACTACGATGGTATCTGATCGTCTTCGAACCTCCGACTTTCGTTCTTGGTTAATGAAAACATTCTTGGCAAATGCTTTCGCTCTGGTCCGAACTGCGCCGGTCCAAGAATTTCACCTGTAGTGGCGCAATACGAATGCCCCCAGCCGTCCTTCTTAATCATGGCCTCAGTTCCAAAAACCAACAAAATAGAACCGCGGTTCTATTCCATCATTCCTAGCTGCGGTATCTAGGCGGCCCGGGCCTGCTTTGAAAACTCTAACTTTTTCAAAGTAAAAGCTTAGGGCCACGGGATACTCAGCTAAGAACATCGAGGGGGCGCCAAGAGGCAAGGGGCGGGGACGGGCCATGGCTCGCCCGCCCGCCCGCTCCCAAGATCCAACTACGAGCTTTTTAACTACAGCAACTTTAATATACGCTATTGGAGCTGGAATTACTGCAGCTGCTGGCACCAGACTTGCCCTCCAATGGATCCTCGTTAAAGGATTTAAAGTGGACTCATTCCAATTACAGGGCCTCGAAAGAGTCCTGTATTGTTATTTTTCATCACTACCTCCCCGAGTAGGGAGTGGGTAATTTGCATGCCTGCTGCCTTCCTTGAATGTGGTAGCCATTTCTCAGGCTCCCTCTCCAGAATCGAACCCTGATTCCTTGTCACCCGTGGTCACCATGGTAGGCACAGCGACTACCATCGAAAGTTGATAGGGCAGACTTTACAATGGGTCATCGCTGCCACTGGGGGCGTGCAATTGGCCTGAGGTTATCTAGAGTCACCAAAGCCAGTGGCACCTGACCCTCCAGCCGGGGCTGGAGAGGGGCTGACTGGGTTGGTTTTGATCTGCTAAATGCACGCATCTTCCCCGCGAAGGGGGTCAGCGCCCTTTGGCATGTATTAGCTCTAGAATTACCACAGTTTTCCAAGTAGGAGAGGAGCGAGCAAACAAAAGAACCATAACTGATTTAATGAGCCATTCACAGTTTCACTGTACCGGCCCTGCGTACTTAGACATGTATGGCTTAATCTTTGAGACAAGCATATCGTTCTGGTAGGATCAACCATGTAGGTAGAAAGTGGCCTCCGGGCCTCACGATGATGAGCCCGGCATCCCAGTCTTGAGGATGGGCCCAGCAGGGCGGGTGACGGGTAATGTGGGAGGGAGAGAGCAGCGCGGGGCGGTGGGAGGGGGGCGGTGGGGTGGCGAACTGGACATCCCATCCACCCACACGACACAACACCCCGTGACGGGCTCATCACTCCCGACCCTTCGAGCCCACCTGCCAGGAGACAGACCTCCCGACCAGTGTGTGGCAGCCGCAAGGGACCGGCGGCCACTAGCACGTGGCGGGCGCGGGGCGGCCTCGACGTTTGGGCAGCGAAGGAGAGGTGGACCGCGGTGCCTGGGGTCTCATCGTCAGCGGCCTCCAAGCACGAAGGTGGCCCCGCGCGGTACCTGGGGCGGCCGACTGGCCTTTGGCAGGCCCGCGGCTCCCCCACTGCCGCTGCAGTCGCGGCCAGCCCACGGAACCCTCTTCCCTGCCCCCGCTGCAGGCCGACTCCAAACCCTCCGGGCGCCCACCAGGCCCACGCGGGGCGCCGCCGACCTGGTCCTGAAGGCGCGCGCCCGGGGACAGGTACAACGGGCCAACCAGTGGCCGGCGGCGGCGCCCCACAAGGCAGAGCCGGGTTTGGTCCCAGACGGGGCCACCGCAGCCTAAGCCAGTGAGCCACTCGGGGAGAGAGGATCCGCGGGCGGGGTAGGCTGCACAGACAGGCAAGGCCAGGGATCGCGAGGGCAAGGGCACCCGGGAGCCCGCAGAGGGGCGGCTCGGGGAGAAACCTCAGGCACGGCTGGGCCACCAGGAAAACACGGCCATGGGATCTCACCACCACAGACACGAGGGAGGTCCCGCGGCGCCCCGCCTGGGATGCCGGACGGCCCTCGGCACCCACGGAGACCCGCCTCTCGAGCCCTAGTTCCCGCCATCGGGACCCCGAAGCGACCTCAGCCACAAACCCAATGCCAGGGCCACGTTGCTCGTTTCTTGTCCATCCTCCAACCTGGTCAAGCCCCCCACTTGGGATGCTTCCCAGGGCCAGGTGGCCCAAACCCGTTCCATGCAAACGCGGTCGTCGGCCCCGGTCGCTGGTCCCCACGGGAGCGGGCAGAGAGCCGTCTCACAGCAGAGCAGTTCATGTGCCGGATGGAATGCCGGGCACAGCCACCGCTCGCGCAGACTTCCAAGCGCTAGGACGCCGGCCCGTCCCGGCGGGATTCTCCCCCGACTCGGAAGGGGGAGGCACGGGCCACACGGTAGGCAATGAGCCACCCTCGGTCCCCACCGCGGAGGCCGGTGGAACCCTCGCTCTCCCCCACTCACCCCGTCGAGGGGGAAGTGGAGGAGGGTCCTCTCCAAGCGAGTTGCTATGGCAGCGCTATCATAAAGCAGAGAGAAGTGGCAGGCCGGAGAATCTGGTACCCCAAAGGCACACCTCTCGGATCGCTAGAAAAGGCTTTCTCACCAAGGGTGGGTCACATTCCCTACCCGCCAGTCGCCCCTCCTCGGGCCCGCAGAGGCGCTCAGGGATGCCTGGGGAAGGGAGGGGGCCCGCGGTACCAGGAAAAATCTGCTTGCGGCAACCTTGAGCCTTCGTGGTCTGGGCGGGGGGCCTGGCCACTGCACGTGGGCGCAATCCCCCAAGAGCTCCCCCGTCCCCCAGCCTCCTTTCTCCCAGGCAAAGCACCTCCAAGTAAACCCACACACAACCTGTCAGAGGCAGAACAGTAGCCCCTCGGTGGCCGGCCGGTGCACGCGTCACCTGCCCAAGCCCACCTCGATCGCTCACACGGCCCGCACGCACCCGCCAGAGGGGAGCACGAGACCTGCACTCGCCAGACCAGGCGGCACCCTTCCCCACGTGGGGGGGACGCATCTCAACCGCCTCGACCCCCACACCAACGAGCTCCCTCAGGACGCACTTGCGAACACTGTGGCGGCGACCGGAGGAGGGGGCGCGGGGGGTGGAAACCACACACCACCGCTCGGCCTCGGGCACTTGAGGGATAAGCTGGGGGGGGAAGGGGGGGAGCTGGGCGAGGTAGGCTCAAGCCTGTCATCCCCGCACTTTGGGAGGCAAGGGAAGGTGGATCCCTCGATCCGAGCCTTGGCAACATGGTGAAACCTCGTCTCTAAAAAAATACAAAAAGTAACTGGCTTCATAACCTGGACACAAAGTTAATAAATAGATAAATAGGCCAGACACGGTGGCTCACGACTGTAATCCCAGCACTTTGGGAGGCCGAGGCGGGCGGATCACGGGGGTCAGGAGATCGAGACCATCCTGGCTACCACTTGAACCCCGTCTCTACTCAAAATACAAAAAATTAGCCAGGTGTGGTGGCGGTTGCCTGTAGTCCCAGCTACTTGGGAGGCTCAGACAGGAGAATGGCTTGAACCCGGGAGGCAGAGCTTGCAGTGAGCCGACATCACGCCACTGCACTCCAGTCTGGGCAACAGAGCGAGACTCCGTCTCAAAAAATAATAATAATAATAAATAGATTAAAATTGAAAATTAAAAAAAAAAAACGTAGCTGGGTGGGCGCAATTGCTCACGCCTGTCATCCCAGCACTTTGGGAGGCCGAGGTGGGCAGATCACCTGAGGTGGCCAGTTTGAGACCCGCCTGACCCACATAGAGAAATGCCGTCTCCACCAACAATACAAAATCAGCCAGGTGTGGTGGCACGTGCCTGTAATCCCAGCTACTCAGGAGGCTGAGGCAGGAGAATTGCTTGAACATGGGAGGTGGAGGTTGCAGTGAGCTGTGATGGTGCCGTTGCACTCCAGCGTGGGCAACAAGAGTGAAACTCCGTCCCAAAAAAAAAAAAAAAAAATTAAGCGCTGTATTCTGTTATTTTTACTTCCTACCCTGAGAAGAACATAATACAGCTGTTGTCTGTCTGCCTGCCTACCTGCCGGCCTGTGACAGGGCCTCACTCTGTCTTTCGCCCAGACTGGAGTGAGGTGAAACCATTATGGCTCACTCACTGCAGCCTCAACCTCCCCAGGGTTAGGTGATTCCTCAAGGGATCCTACGGTCTCGGCCTCCCAAAGTGTCGGGATTACAGACGTGAGCCACCAGCACCCGGCCTGAGTTAATACATCTGGTCCCTCTACATCTTAACCACACACCCATGAATAACTCAAGTCAAGAGAGAGTTGGTAAGAGACTCTCAGCATTCTCTCCCGAAAGCAGTGAGGTGGATGGCGGCCGGGTGTCCCGAGCTCCTGGGGTTTTAGGTGACCATGCGTAGAGGAGAGATTTCCAGTGTTTCCAGAGAGGTGTGAGCCACAGTCATTGGGGCATCTGAGCACGAGATGGGGTTTCTGACAGCGACTTAAGGGCCAGGAAGGGCCAGAATCTGTCAAGGTCCGTGTCCCAGGGTGGGGCTGATGGAACCCAAGGTAGAGGGAATCAGCAGTCTGCACAGAGAGAGCTCCAGCCCCAGGCCCCACTGTGCAGACCCAATCATAAGGAAGAGAGTCCTTTGTCCTACATGCCACATCCCTCCACTGAACTTGGGAGCGGATCCATTTTCCAAATATGAGGTGATTCTCAGTTTGCAATGGATCACATGGGGCTGGGCTTCCCAGAGTCGGCAGGGTAAATAAGTCATTCTGGCTCGGCCTCCCCCATCCCCTTGTAACTGGTGAGGGTTTTTTTTATTTTTATTTTTTAATTATTTTTATACTTTAAGTTTTAGGGGACAGGTGCACAATGTGCAGGTTAGTTACATATGTATACATGTGCCATGCTGGTGCGCTGCACCCATTAACTCGTCATCTAGCATTACGTATATCTCCTAATGCTATCCCTCCCCCCTCCCCCACTCCACAAGTGCCCAGAGTGAGTGTGATGTTTCCCTTCCTGTGTCCATGTGCTCTCATTGTTCAATTCCCACCTAAGAGTGAGAATATGCGGTGTTTGGTTTTTTAACCTTGTGATAGTTTACTGAGAATGATGATTTCCAATTTCATCCATGGGCCTACAAACGACATGAACTCATCATTTTTTATGGCTGCATAGTATTCCATGGTGTATATGTGCCACATTTTCTTAATCCAGTCTATCATTGTTGGACATTTGGGTTGGTTCCAAGTCTTTGCTATTGTGAATAGTGCCACAATAAACATACATGTGCATGTGTCTTTATAGCAGCATGATTTAGAGTCCTTTAGGTACATACCCAGTAATGGGATGGCTGGGTCAATGGTATTTCTAGTTCTAGTTCTAGATCCCTTTGCCATCCCCATCAAGCTACCAGTGACTTTCTTCACAGAATTGGAAAAAGCTACGTTAAAGTTTAGGCCTCCTAGCCAAAAAGCCAAAGCCACTTCTGGGATTTTTTTCAAAGAGCCAGTGGTTCCACAATGGGCTGTGGGTAGTTGTGGAAATGGAAAGAAGTGTTTGCAGATACATATTTGAGACAGAAGGGACAGGGCTCGGTCACAGGTCATGTAGGACACGAGCAGAGGCACATTGAGAAAACCCTCCCAGCATCCTAGGTGAACAGAGGTATGCCTTTTTGAGACAGTCGAGGGAGACACAACCCCAGATTTTAGGGTTGGATCTTTATTAATATGTAGTATCTATGAGGTATCCAAGTCCAGAAATCAACTCACCAGTTCTTTACAGCATTCTGTAGGGAGATCATATCTGGGATGTCTAAAGTTAAGAATTCAGGCCGTGGTAATGGATTAGATTAGATGTACTTGAACTTATTTTGCAAAGAAAGAGAGGGTGGGAGATAGCGAGAGCCAGAGAGCAAGCGAGAGAGACAGAGACAGAGACACAGAGAGACAGACAGAGAGACACAAAGATACACAAAGAGAGAAAGACAGAAAGAGAGAGACAGACAGATAAAGACACAGAGAAAGACAGAGATGGACAGAGAGAGAAACAGAAAGAAAGATAGAGACAGAAAGAGAGAGAGACAGACAGAGAGAGAGAGACAGACAGACAGGAAGACCGACAGGCAGAGAAAGAGAGTAAGACAGAAGGCAGACACACACACACAAAGAAAGAGAGAAAGAGACAGATGGAGAAACAGTGAGAAAGAGAGAGACAGACAGAGAGAAAGAGACAGAGAGAGAAAGACAGAGACAGACAGAGGGAGAGAGAGAGAAACAGACAGAAAGAGAGAGAGACAGATGGAGACAGAGAAAGAAACAGACAAGGAGAGAGAGAGACAGACAGACAGACAGGCAGAGAAAGACAGTAAGACAGAAGACAGACAGAGAGAGAGAGAGAGAGAGAGACAGGCAGAGAGAGAGACAGAGACAGAGAAACAGACAGGCAAAGAGAGAGAGAGAAAAAAAACCAGACAGACAGAGAGAGAGAGACAAACAGAGAGACTGGGAGAGAGAGTGAGACAGAGAGACCGACAGACAGACAGACAGACAGACAGACAGAGAAAGAGAATAAGACAGAAGACAGACACAGTGAGAGAGACAGAGAGAGAGAGACAGAGACAGTGAGACAGAGAAAGAAAGAGAGTTACAGATAGACAGACAAAGAGACAGACAGAGAAAGACAGAGACGGACAGAGATAGAGAGAAACAAAGAGAGAGAGAGAGAGACAGGCAGGCAGAGAAAGAGAGTAAGACAGAAGACAGACACAGTGAGAGAGACAGGCAGAGAGAGACAGACAGAGACAGAGAGAAAGAAAGAGAGAGACAGACAGAGATGGAGAGAGAGAGACAGAGAGAAACAAACAGAAACAGAGACAGAGACAGAGAGAAACAGACAGACAGGGAGAGAGGGAGAGACAGTGACAGACAGATAGGCAGAGAGAGAGAGACAGACAGGCAGAGAAAGGGAGTAAGACAGAAGACAGACACAGTGAGAGAGACAGGCAGAGAGAGAGAGAGAGAGAAATAGGCAGAGAGATAGAGACAGAGAGAGAGAGAGAAGACAGAGAAGAGACAGAGAGACAGAGAGAGGAGGAGGAAGGGCTTGCTCAGGAAATAATTACACATATTTTATAACGCTTTTGATCCCATAAACGGTGGCCCGGGTGTGCTTTGAAAACAACAACAACAACAACAACAGCAACAAGAGCAGCAGCAGCATTTGCTTACGGATTTCTAGAAAATAAGATGTTCTGAAGTATAGTAAATATTAACCGGCTCTCACTACACGTTGAGAGATTCACAAAAGCGCTAGTTAACAACAGGAGAAAACAGCAACTAACATGTCTTGGGGAAAATATACGTCTTCCTGAAAACTGGGGATTTCTACTTCACCTGAAAAGAAATACATACTAAAAAGGAAAAACAAGAACAAAACAAAACAAAACCACAAACACGGGCCAAGGCACCGTCCCTGGAAATCTTAAGTGAGCAAAGTATTAGTTGTCAGAAAGCGTTTCTATTTTGGGCAAATACTAAGAAGGCCCAGACTAGAGCTGTGACGCCGTTCCCATTGTGAAACTATGCTGGCCAGAGGGCGAGAAACTAAAACATCATGATAAAATGTGATTGAGACCCAGCCAGGGTGAAGCTTTCCTAGGGAGGGAGGCCTGAGGAAGGAAGCTGGGGAAAACCCCAGAACTTCAGACCCGCCCGCTTGCCCACGCGGGTCAAGGGCTATGCCATCGGTCCAAGCTGTCTCTGGGGAAGTGGGACCATGCCACCCTCATCTTCAAAAACGGTGGCCACTGAGTGAGGCCTGACGCCCACCGTTGCAAATGTCAGCCTGGCAAGAATGAGATCGCCGGCAAGGGGTGTTAGAAGGGGAGAGAAGAGGGAGGCGCACCGGGGTGGCTCCGGGTTTCCAAGCAGGGTGTTGGGAGGCGGGGAGTGGGGGGTTTGGGGGGAACCCACCTAACTGATTCACTAAATGAAGGTAAAGGGACCTGGGGAGGGGGGATCCGGGGGGGCAACTTGAAAATTAAACTGACCTCTCCTAAAACCCAAGTGGAAGGGTCAATGCGCATGAAAGAAACCAACACACGAAGAAAACTAAAGCGCTGATCAAAGAACAATAGGGCCCCCGCCAGGGCGGAGGTTCCCTAGGCAACGGAGGGAGAGAGGGAGGGGCCTCCAGAAGGGAGAGATAGAAACCCGTTGCCCCAGGCTTGGTGAAGTCAGCAAGACTTCCCTCCGTGTCACCTCGACTTTCAATAGCAGTGGCTGCTAGGTGATGCCCGAAGACAACCGATGCCTGCAAGTGTCAGTCAGCACGGAAAAGAATGCATTTATTTATTTATTTATTTATTTATTTATTTATTTATTTATTCATTTATTTAGAGACAAGTCTCACTCAATCTACAGCCCGGGCTGTAGTGCAGTGGCGCGATCTC
>NC_000020.11:29307476-29315342 GCF_000001405.40 Homo sapiens
GGATGACAGACGTGAGCCACGGCGCCCGGCCTTAACCGTGTATTTTTAAGTCGAGGAGCTTATCAGGGAAATACGAGAAGTAGGGACGCCACACGTGACAGAGAGAAAAGTTTGAAAATGCACCTTCCATCCAAGTGGGCACCCGGCCTCGACCTCCTGAAATCATACACCGAGTGGCGAAGCCTAGCAAGGCCCATCTGTCCAGATTCCTCTCGGCCTCTCTAAGCAGGCGCTTCTCACTTTCGTGGAAGGGGCAGGGCCCTCCCCGGCACAGGGGCTCTGACAGACTGACAGAGAAAGAGACAGACATAGAAAGACAGAGATGGACAGAGAGAAACAAACAGAGAGAGAGAGAGAGAGACAGAGACAGAGAGAGAAACAGGGAGGGAGAGAGAGAGAGACAGACAGACAGACACACAGAGACAAACAGAGAAACAGAGAGAAACAGAAAGAGAGAGAGACGGAGAGAGAGAGAGAAAGGGAGGGAGAGAGAGAGACAGACAGACAGGCAGAGAAAGAGAGTAAGACAGAAGATAGACACAGTGAGAGAAACAGGCAGAGAAAGAGAGAGACAGAGACAGAGAGAAAGAAAGAGACAGAGAAAGACAGAGATGGACAGAGAGAAACAGAAAGAGAGAAAGAGAGAGAAACAGACAGACAGGGAGGGAGAGAGACAGAGAGAGAGACAGACAGACAGACAGAGAGACAGAGACAGACAAAGAGAAACAAAGAGAGAGATGGAGAGAGTGAGAGATAGAGAGAGAGAGAGAAACAGAAAGACAGGGGGAGAGAGACAGACAGGCAGAGAAGGAGAGTAAGACAGAAGACAGACACAGTGAGAGAAACAGGCAGAGGGAGAGAGAGACAGAGACAGAGAGAAAGAAAAAGACAGACAGAGAAAGACAGACAGAGACGGACAGAGAGAAAAAGCAAAAGAAGAGACAGAGAGAGAGTGAGAGCGAGAGAGACAGAGGGAGAGAATCAGACAGGGAGAGAGAGAGAGACAGGCAGAGAAAGAGAGTAAGACAGAAGATAGACACAGAGAGAGAGAGAGAGAGAGAGAAAGATAGAGACAGTCCTGGCGCGGTGGCTCACTCCTGTCATCCCAGCACTTTGGGAGGCCGAGGCGGGCGGATCACGAGGTCAGGAGATCGAGACCATCCTGGCTAACATGGTGAAATCCCGTCTCTACTAAAAATACAAAAAATTAGCCTGACTTGGTGGTGGGCGCCTATAGTCCCAGCTACTCAGGAGGCTAAGGCAGGAGAATGGCGTGAACCTGGGAGGTGGAGCTTTCAGTGAGCCAAGATGGCGCCACTGCACACCAGCCTGGGCGACACAGTGAGACTACATCTGGAAAAAAAAAAAAAAAGAAAGAGAGAGACAGACAGACAGAGGAAGAGACAGACAGAGACAGACAGAGAGAAACAAACACAGAGAGAGACAGAGAGAGAGAGAGAAACAGAAAGGCAGGGAAGGAGAGAGAGAGACAGGCAGAGGAAGAGAATAAGGCAGAAGACAGACACAGTGAGAGAGACAGGCAGAGAGAGACAGACAGAGACAGAGAGAAAGAGAGACAGACAGAGATGGAGAGAGAGACAGAGAGAAACAGACAGAAAGAGAGAGAGACAGAGAGAGAGTGAGAGTGAGAGAGAGAGGGACAGAAAGGGAGGGAGAGGGACAGACAGAGAGAGAGACAGATGGGTAGAGAAAGAGAGTAAGACAGAAGATAGACATAGAGAGAGAGACAGAGAGAGAGAGTGAGAGAGAGAGAGAGAGACTCAGAAAAAGAAATAGAGAGACAGAGAGAGAGAAACAGAGAGGGAGGGAGAGATAGAGAGACAGACAGGCAGAGAAAGAGAGTTAGAAGACAGACACCATGAGACAGGCAGAGAGAGAGAGACAGAGACAGAGATAAAGAAAGAGACAGACAGACAGAGAAAGAGACAGATAGAGAAAGACAGAGACGGACAGAGAGAGACAGAGATAAACAGACAGAGAGAAGATCCTAGCCCAGTAGCAATACAGTGCTTTTTCTTTCATTTTCTCTTTCTTTTCTTTTCTTTTCTTTTCTTTTCTTTTCTTTTCTTTTCTTTTCTTTCTTTCATTTATTTATTTATTTATTTGGAGACGAAGTCTCACTCTGTCGCCCAGGCTGTAATGCAGTGGTGCCATCCCGGGTCACTGAAATCTCCGCCTGCGAGGTTCAAGCGATTCTCCCGCCTCAACCTCCCGAGTAGCTGGGATTACAGGTGCCTGCCCCACTGCGCCCGACTCAGTTTCGTATTTTCAGTAGAGACGGGGTTTCACCATGTTGGCTAGGCTGGTCTCGAACTCCTGACCTCGTGAACCACCCACCTCGGCCTCCCAAAGTGCTGGGATGACAGACGTGGGCCACTGCGTTCAGTGTACGGTGCCATTTCTTAGAAATCACTCATGGGAATACACACTTACAGGTCATGTGTAGAGATTTTATTTATTTATTTATTTATTTTTATTTTTATTTTTTTTTTGCACGGGAAGGTGGGGGGACAGAGTTTCGCTCTTCCTGCCCAGGCTAGAGTGCAATGGCATAGGGGATTCAAGGAGTTAACCTATGGCAGAGAAGACACGTCATTCTGAGTGTAAGGGCCACAGCGAAAAGTGTCTGGGCCTGTGCTTTTAAAGGCTGAAATCCCGGCGGCTCAGGCCTGTCGTCCCAGCACTTTGGGAGGCCCAGAAAGGTGGATCACTTGAGGTCAGGAGTTCAATACCAACGTGGCCAACATAGAACAACCCCTTCTCTACTAAAAATAGAAAAAATAGCCTGCTGTCGTGGTGCGCGCCTGTAATCCCAGCTACCGAAGAAGAATCACTGGAACCCGGGAAGCAGAGGTTTCAGTGAGCCGAGAGAGCACCACTGCACCGCAGCCTGGGTGACAGAGCGAGAGAGACTCAGTCCAAAAAAAAGAAAAGAAGAAAAAAAAAGAACAGGCCCAAATACTGCATTGTCGCTGAATGTTCCCCCAAAAGGCCGGAAACCCCCTGACTCAGGTCCAGGAGGTGCTGTTTCGTTTCACTTCTTTCTCTCTCTCTCTCTTTCCTTCTCTCCCTCTCTCTCTCCCTCTCTCTCTCTTTCTCCCCTAACTTTCATTTCTTGTTCAAACATACATGTGCAAGATTGTTACATAGGTAAACTTATGACGGGGGGGTTCAGTGTGCAGATGATTTTATCAGCCGGATACTCAGCGCAGTACTCGACAGTTTTCATGTTTTGTTTTGTTTTGTTTTTTCCTGAAGCTGTCTCTCCTTCCACCCCTCCTCCCTCAAGTAGGCTCCCGCGTCTCTGGTCCCCCTCGTTCTGCCCACACAGAACTCTCATCTATAAGTTCCCACTTATGGATGAGAACACGCGGTATTTAGCTGATTGTTGCTTTCATCTTCGGTGGTGACGGTGAAAGAGGCATGACACTAAATCGAACCTTAGGACGCTCCCCTCCGTCCCCACCCCACACCCCCTCCCCACACACACCCTCATTCCTGCACCCTCTCCTCAAACGCAGGAAAGGAAGAAAGACAAATTAAAGTAAGAGGTCAGCCTCCAAGGCGGTGGAGTCAGGGGATCTCAAAGGGTGAGCAAGCGATGGGGATCGGGGGATGTCTTGGCTGAGCTTGCAACAATAGGCGACCGAGTTTCCAGCCCCACCACTCCCCCTAATCCTCAGCCGCAGCCAGCCTCTGGGTGGGGTTGCGCCTGTAAAAGCTTCTGAATGGAGAGAAGCCCAAGACGATGGAAGGCATCAGCTCCAACTCCAGGAAGGGAATAGGGCTTTGTGCATTTGAATGGGGCTTTAGAAGGCGGTGCTGCGGCTTCCAAAGTGATGCACCTCGCCCCGCCTCGCCTCGACCAGAGCGAGACTCCGTCTCAAAATCAATCAATCAATCAATCAATCAAATCATAAAAAAAATAAAAGAAAGAAAGAAAGAAAGAAAGAAAGAAAGAAAGAAAGAAAGAAAGAATTAGTACAGTGGTCGTGGTCGTGAATCATTCCCCGGAGTCCAGGTGCAGTGGCTTGCGCCCGTCACGCCAGCACTTTGAGACGCTAGGTCAGGAGGGTTGCAACAAAATGATGAGACCCTGTCTGTGGAAAAACATTTAAAAATGAAGGCCAGGCGCAGTGACTCACACCTGCCATCCCAGCACTTTGGGAGGCCGAGGAGGGCGGATCACCTGAGGTCGGGAGTTCGAGACCAGCCTGACCAACATGGAGAAGCCCCGTCTCTACTAACAATACAAAATCAGCCAGATGTGGTGGCGCATGCCTGCAATCCCAGCTACTCGGGAGGCTGACGCAGGAGAATCGCTTGAACCCGGGAGGCAGGGGTTGTGGTGGGCCAAGATCGCGCCATTGCACTCCAGTCTGGGCAACAAGAGCAAAACTCTGTCTTGGGAAAAATAAATAAATAAATAAATAAATAAATAAAAATGATCTGGGCACAGTGGCGCGTGCCTCTGGTCCCAGGTACTCTACTCTGGAGGCTGAGGTGAAATGATCGCTTGAGTCCAGGAGCGTCCACACTGCAGTGAGTGAGTTATGATGGCACCACTGCCAGGGTGACAGAGCGAGACGCTATCTCTAAATCAGTCAATCAATCAATCAGATCACTGGAAGGCACTGTCTGTGTCTTACTTCCAAAGGGTGTCTCTTTAGGCCAAGCAGGCATGGTGCCTCACACCAGTAATCCTGGCACTTTGGGAGGCTGAGGAGGGAGGAAAGAAGGAAGGGAGGAATGGAGGAAAGAAGAAAGGCAGGAAGGCAGTCAGGCAGGAAAGGAAGAAAGAAAGAAAGAAAGAAAGAGAGAAAGAAAGAAAGAAAAAAGAAAGAAAGAAAGAAAGAAAGAAAGAGAAAGAAAGAGAAAGAAAGAGAGAAAGAGAGAAAGAAGAAAGAAAGAAAGAAAGAAGGAAAAAAGAAAGGAAAGAAGAAAGAAAGAAAGAAAGAAAGAAAGAAAGAAAGAAGAAAGAAAGGAAGGAAGGGAGGGAGGGAGAAGAAGAGAGAAGAAAAAAGAAGAAAAGAAAAGAAAAGGAAAAGAAAAGAAAAGGAAAAGAAAAGAAAAGAAAAGAAAAGAAAAGAAAAGAAAAGAAAAGAAAAGAAAACGGGGAGGGGCATATCTCCTTGACTGGTGACTGCCCAGGATACAGCTGACTGAAGCCTCGACCTGTGGGGCCTCAAGTGATCTTCTCCTTATCTCAGCCT
Source organism: Homo sapiens (assembly GCF_000001405.40). Taxonomy (NCBI): domain Eukaryota; kingdom Metazoa; phylum Chordata; class Mammalia; order Primates; family Hominidae; genus Homo; species Homo sapiens. Next base: position 29,312,711 of record NC_000020.11, read on the forward strand.
CCCGAGTAGCTGCGACTACAGGCGGGGATCAGCATTCAAAAATAATCTTACAATAATATTATAATTATTATTGAGACAGAGTCTCGCTCTGTCTCAATAATTGCCATGGCATGATCTCAGCTCACTGCAACCTCGGCCTCCCTGGTTCAAGCAACTTGCCCGCCTCAGTCTCCTGAGTAGTTGTGATTACAAGCTTATGTCACCAGGCCTGGCTAATTGTTCTATTTTTCATAGAGATGGGGTTTCACCATGTTGGCCAGCCTGGTCTTGAATTCCTGGCCTCAAGTGATCCACCTGCCTCGGCCTCCCAAAGTGCTGGAATGACAGGTGTGAGCCACTGTGCCCAGCGCAGATAATCTTTTTTATAAATTGTAGAGATGGAGTTTCGTCAGCTGCCGGGTGGAGGGTGGAGTGGGTTTTACTCAGACTGCGTACTGTGAAAGGGTAAATTAGTGTGGTTTGTGAACTAGATGTGGAAATTGTGTGTGTGTGTGTGAGAGAGAGAGAGAGAGAGAGAGAGAGAGGGAGAGACCAACCCCACAGTGAGGACCGAGAAATGGTGTTTGATTTGGGTCCCTGTCTAGTCACCTCTCTGTCTGTAGATGACTGAGGATTCCACAAATGAAGGTCAGCAGTATCTATTGAGCTGTTTCTCCCTCTCATGCATCTCATCTGTGTGGTGGAGAAAGGGAAGAAAAGAGCTTCTGATGGGAAGTTGTCTTCATGCCTGAGGAAGCTGAAGGTAGGCTGACGGGAAGGAGGGCATCCTATGTGACATTTCCATACCTGGGTACCCTTTACAATGCTGTGGCTGCCAGTCCACCCTGTACGTCAACCCACCCCCAAGAACAGCACGGTCCGGGGTGGTCCAGTCTCATCCCATCCGGCCCACCCGAGGCATCTGGTGGAAGTCTTCGCTGGAGGATTTGAAAGCAGCGTCAACGCAGTTCCCTTGGGGTCGCCGGGCAAAGGCCAGCCAGGGGAGGGTGGAGGGATGTGAAGGGGGGCGGGGCATCGGCCTCAGAACTCCCTGGAAGGTGGCAGGCAGCCGGTGGGGGACGCTGAGCCAGAGACGTCTGGCAGTGTATAGATCTGGAAGCCGCGTCAGTCCTCTCCCATACCTCTCCCATGGAAAATCCCACAGAGGCGGTGGGAGACTTGGCTGGGGGAGAAGCGGAGACAAGGGGGAGAGGGAAGGAGGCCCTCGGGAGGATTTAGCACCGAAAACCCACTCAGCCAAGCTCCCTCCCTCCTATCGGGTCCAAGGTACACCCTGGGTGGTGGCAAGAGAAACGTTCACCCCGTGCTTTTTGTCTTTCTCTTTATTTTTTTCATCTTTTCAATTTTACAAGAGATGCTCATTTCAACAACCAGACGGTGGATGTGTTGGGAGAAGTGTCAAGGCCAGGAGTTTGAGACCAGCCCGAGCAACTGAGCAACACAAGTAGGAGAACCCAGCTGAAAAAAATGAAAAAAAGAAGGAGGAGGAGGAGGAGGAAAGAAAAGAAAAGAAAAGAAAAACAAGCACCAAGAAAGTTAAAATTCTCCAAAGGTGCAGGCACAAAAAAGAGTGATTTCACGTCTTTTCCCACAACATGGATAGAGCTGGAAGCAAGTATGTACCCAGTGAACTGCCTTCTACTAACAAGTGGGAGATAAACAGTGGGTACTCACACGGTCATCATGATGGAAATAACAGACACTCCAAAGGGGAGGAGGAGGGTAAGAGGGGGACAAGGGATGAATAAATCACCCGTCGGAGACAACATTCACCACATAGGTATCGGATACACAGGAGGTCCACTTCTACATCCGAAGGCAGTAGTATGCCGATCTAACAAACAAGCACATACACCCCCTGAGTCTGTAAAATACCAAAACAACAACAACAGCACCAGCAGCAGCAGCAACAACAACAACAACAGCAGAACAGAAGCTGGAACACAAAACCACCACCACCACCACCACCACCACAACCACCACAATCACCAGTTGGGGGTTGGGGGAGGGTGGCCGCGCTGGAGGCCCTCAGGCTCAGTCCCTCGGGTTTAAAAAAGAAAACAGCAGACTCATTCCTGTCTGTAGGCAGGAAAAATCCAATCAAAGTTCTCCGTTGCTAGAAAGGGAAGTAGAATAAGGAGAGGGGCTTATTGATCTTCTTGTGATCGATCGAAACCATACATGTAGGAAAAAATTAAATACAGACAGCAACACTTTCTACACTGTACAAAAGCTTCGGAGATCAGGCGCACCACACTCCATGGGGCTTGTGCCATTAGAAAGAAAAGGCAGGGCCGGGCCCCAGTGGCTCACGCCTGTTATCCCAACACTTTGGGAGGCCGAGGCGGGCGGATCACGAAGTCAGGGTTCACCATCTTGGCCAGGCTGCTCTCGAACTCCTGACCTCGTGATCCACCTGCCTCAGCCTCCCAAAGTGCTGGGAGTACAGGCGTGAGCCACCACCGCCGGCCGTTTTTGTTTTAAAAACTACAGACAAGCTGGGTGCAGTGGCTCAAGCCTGTAATGGCTTCACGTTGGGAGGCTGAAGTGGTTGGATTGCTTGAGCCCCGGAGTTCAAGACCAGCTTGGCAACATAGTGAGACACCGTCTCTGCAAAAAAAAGCATTAAAGA
>NC_000020.11:29315821-29362154 GCF_000001405.40 Homo sapiens
AAAAAGGCAAGCCTAGTGCTGCATGCCTGTAGTCCCAGCTACTCAGGAGGCTGTTGTAGAACAATCACTTGACCCAGCAGTTTGAGGCTGCAGTGAGCTATGATCATGCCACTGCACTCTGGCCTGGGTGACAGAGCAAAACCCCATCTCAAAACAAAGAACAACCAATAACCTACAAGCATACTCAGAGATAGTGTGGGTTTGGTTCCAGACAACCACAATAAGGCAAATGTTACAATCAAGCTAGTCACATAAACATTTTGTTTCCCAGTGCTTACAAAAGTTATGCTTAAACTATGTGCAGTCTAATGAGTATTTAATAATTAATTATTAATTAATTAATTAGTAATCGCATTATGTCTACAAAACTGTGTACATATCTTATCTTAAAATATCTCATTGCTGAAAAATACTAATGAATATCTGAGCCTTACCAAGTCATAATCTTTTTGCTGGTGAGTGAAGGGGTGGCCTGCCCCTCCACACTTGTGGGTATTTCTAGTCAGGTGGGATGAGAGACTGAGAAAAGAAGTAAGACACAGAGACAAAGTATAGAGAAACAACAGTAGGCCCAGGGGACCGGCGCTCAGCATACCAAGGACATGCACCGGCACCAGCCTCTGAGATATCTCAGTTTTTATGGCTTATTATTTTCATTATTTCAGCAAAAAGGAATGTGGTAGGAGAGCAGGGTGATAATAAGGAGATGGTCAGCAAAAAACATGTGAGCAACATGTCTCGCCTCCCCCCATAGGGCAGTTTTTCTCCTATCTCAGAATTGAACAAATGTACAATCGGGTTTTATACTGAGACATTCAGTTCCCAGGGGCAGCCAGGAGACAGTGGCCTTCCTCTATCTCAACTTCAAGAGGCTTTCCTCTTTTACTAATCCACCTCAGCACAGACCCTTAACGGGTGTCGGGCTGGGGGACAGTCAGGTCTTTCTCATCTCATGAGGCCATATTTCAGACTATCACATGGGGAGAAACTTTGGACAATACCCCGCTTTCAATGGCAGAGGTCCCTGCGGCTTTCTGCAGTGCATTGTGCCCCTCGTTTATTGAGACTAGAGAATGGCGATGACTTTTACCAAGTATACTGCTTGTAAACATTTTGTTAACAAGGCACATCCTGCACAGCCCTAGATTCCTTAAACCTTAATTTCATACAACACATGTTTTTGTGAGCTCCAGGTTGAGTCAAAGTGGCTGGGGCAAAGTTGCTGGGGCAAAGCTACAAATTAATAACATCTCAGCAAAGCAATTGTTTAAAGTACAAGTCTTTTTCAAAATGGAGTCTCTTGTGTCTTTCCTTTCTATATAGACACAGTAACAGTCTGATCTCTCTTTCTTTTCTCTACAGTGAGGGTCTTGCCTCTATGTTGATGGCTGTTGACTGATCAGTGTGGGGGCTGCTGAAGTTTGGGTGCCTGTGTCAATTTCTTAAAACAATGAAGTTTGTTCCTTTCACAAAAGATTTCCTTGTAGCATGTGATGCTGTTTGATAGCATTTTATCCACAGTAGAACTTCCTTCAAAATTGGAGTAAACCCTCTCAAACCCTGCTGCTGCTTTATCAACTAGGTTTATGGAATATTCTAAATTCTTTGTTGTTATTTCAACAATGTTCATAGCATCTCCACCTGGAGTAGATTCCATCTCAAGAAAATATTTTCTTTGCTTATCCATAAGAAGCAACTCCCCACTTGCTCAAGTTTCATCATGAGTTTATGGCAATTTAACCTCATCTAAAGGCCCTAATTCTAATTCTGGTTGTCTTGCGATTTCTACCACATCTGCAGGGACTTCCTCCACTGACATCCTGAGCCCTCAAAGTCTTCCAAGAGGGCTGGAATCAACTTCTTCCAAACTCCTGTTAATGTTGATATTTCAATCTCCTCCCACAACCACAAATGTCCTTAATGGCATTTGCTATTAAGGACATTTGTGATTCATGGGAATAGGTTGGAATATCATGAAGGGATTAATGGTGAAACCTTTCCAAAAGGTTTTCAATTCAGTTTATCCAGATTCATCAAAGAAATTACTATCTATGACAGCTATACCTTTACAAAATGCATTCATTATTTAATAAAAACACTTGAAAGTCAAAACCACCCCTTGATCCACAGGCTGAAGGATAGATATTGTATTAGCAGCCATTAATTTCCAAGTACATCTCCATCTAAGCTTCTGGGTAGCTAGGTGAATTGTCAATAAGCAGCAATCTTTTTACATTTTTCTTTTCTTTTCTTTTCTTTTTTTTTCCTTTATGTAGTTTCCCTCTTGCTGCCCAGGCTGGAGGGCAGTGGCATGGTCTCGGCTCACTGCAACCTCCGCCTCCAGGGTTCAAGCCATTCTTCTGCGTCAGCCTCCCAAGTAGCTGAAATTACAGGTACCACCACCATGCCTGGTTCATTTTTTTTTTTTTTTTTTTTGTATTTTTATTAGAGACAGGGTTTCATCATTTCCACCAGGCTGGTCTTGAATTCCTGACCTCAGGTGATCCACCCACGTCAGCCTCCCAAAGTGCAGGGATTACAGGTGTGAGCCACTGTGCCTGGCCAAGCAGCAATCCCTTTAAAGGAATCGTGTTTTTTTTTTTCTTTTTTCTTTTTTTTCTTTATCTGAGCAGTAGGTCTCAATAGTGGGATTAAAATATTCAGTAAACCATGCTCTTAACAGATGTGTTGTCACTCATACTGTGATGTTCCATTTCTAGAGCTCAGCAAGAATAGATTTTGCATAATTCTTAAGGGCCCTGAGATTTTCAGAGTGGTCAATGAGCATTGGCTGTAACTTAAAGTCACCAACTGCAGTGGTCCTCAAAGAGAGTCAGCCCATCCTTTGAAGTTTTGAAGCCAAGTGTTGACGTCTCTCTAGCGATGAAAATTTTACATCTTCACTAGCTTAATCATTTCTAGCTCTGGACTTCAAGTGAGAGACATGCAATTCTTCCTTTCATTTGAGCTCTTTGAGGCCACTGTGCTTACTAATTAACACCCCCGGTGGGTGTCATCCTCCTCCCTCCTCAATCGAGTTCACCCACACCGGGGCGTGGGGAACGGGGCTTCCCACACCCCACATTCCCTGCACGACTGGGGCTCTCCCACAGGGGGCTTTCGTGAGCGAGGGAGCAAAGGCCATTCCTCCGCTCCAGCCTAGCCAGGCTGCGCAGGCAGGAGGAATCTCTCAACCTACCCCGGCACGCGGGGGATTTTGCGTTCGCTGCCCTCGCTCCTCTAGAAGTAGGACTGTTCCACCCTCAGACTCCTAGGTGGCCTCCACACCCCAACAAATGCCAGGAGGACCAGAACCCGCAGCATGGTGGCCTGCTGGGCGCGTGCTCAGTGGGACAGCTTGGGTCCTCTGAAGCTGAGTCACAGGGGCAAGGTGTGTTTGCGCCACCCACGTCCCACCGGAGTCCGCGGTGGGGCTGGAGCCCCAGGTCGCCAGGGCTGCGTGGGAAACGGAAGACGGGGCACCTCCACTTCCGAAGCTCGAGACCCCGGAGGCCTCCGCGTCAAGCACATATGCAAGCCATCCGGGCGCCGCCCAACCGCTCCAGGAGCCGGGGCTCTCGTCTACATTCACCCCCAGCCAGTTAGATGAGCTCCTGTAAACCCCACAGTTTCAGCACAAGGCACAACCTTTCCTAGATCCGGCGCCACTGGGGTAGCTGAAGAACGTGGAAGAGCCCTCTCCGCTGGAACCACTCCTCAGCCAGGAAGAACACCGGGCTCTGCTGGAGGAGCTTTAGGACCGGGGGTTGGGGCGGGGTAGGGGCAGGGCGGCGGCCTCTCTTTCGCGGTGAACCTCTGACTTGGTATAGAGAGGCCTGTCTTCCCTTTCAGCTGACCTGCCTAGGATCCCTGAGTTCCAGGTCCCGTGAGGGATCCACTCAGAGGAGGGCTGTCATTCTTTTCTGAGCATCCCGGGGATCCCAGGGCCCGTCCAGGTACCGGGAGACGGACTGTCTACTGCTCATGCGCGGGTTAGCAGGCAGTAGCCTAGGTTTTCTATCCCTCTTGCCCCCCACCGCGTTCTTCAGTGGGGCAGGCGGAGACCTCCATCCCGGCAAACACTGGCCCGGGCAGGCGCCAGGCCTGCTCTTCTTTCCGCGTCTCGCCACCTCTGCCTCCCCGCCCCACCGTCACTCGCCTACCCTTGCCCCACCAGCTTCCTCGGCATCACCTGGAGTGCCTGACAGCTAAATGCAGACTCGAGACCCCGTGAAAACCAGGGTGCTGCCCTTTCTACGCAGGAGGGAACTCAGGCAGAGAGGAGGAGAGGAACGGAGACAGAGAGGGAGGGAGCGATGGAGGGAGGAAAGAACGGATGGACCGAGGGACCTTGGAAAGGATGGAGGGATAGAAGGAAGGAGAGAGGGAAGGAAGGAGGGAGGGAGGAAGGGAGGAACTGAGGGAGGGACGCAGGGAAAAAGGGAAGGAGGGAGGGAGGGAAGAAGGGAGGAACTGAGAGAGGGACGGAGGGAAAAAGGGAGGGAGGGAGCAAGAAACAGAGAGAGGAAGGCAGAGAAAAAAGCAGTCTTCTGCCTCCAGGACCAGCAGGATCTCGCACTCCGGGAAAATGTTGGGTGCCCAGTGCAGGCTAAGTGCTCGGCCTACAGCCGCGTCGGCCTGCGGGGCTCTCACCGGCCCTCTGGATCGCCAGCCTGGGTTACTTCATCCCGGAGCGATTCAGACGAATTTCCTCTCTCAAGGAATGAGCGAATTGCCCAGAGAGCAATGAGCCGAGACTCGGGTGATTGTCCATTTTTCATCCACGTGGTTCACAGATGAGATAGCCCCACGTTGAGCCTGCAACGGAGCGCGAGGTGGATAGTCCCGTACACACAGGAGTCACACTCAGGCCGACTGAAGCGTGGTTTCGGGTTCCACGTTCCTTTGTCTTCTGCAAGGGGGCCTGTTGTTCATGCGTCTCTGGCCCCCGAAAGGGTGACCATGTTGATTGTTTGTTTCCCGAGCTCTGTGGGGACACAGAAACCTCCAGAGAAGCATGGAAAAGCAGCATCGTGTCTTCGCTCTCCTTTCCAGTTTCCTGTTTGGAAACAGGTCCTAGTGGAGACTCCCTATGTCGCAGGAAACAGGAATCCATCGTCAGGCCGTGATGCACCGGGTGTTTCTTTTCTCTGTAGTTTCGCTCTCGTTTTCTACATGAAAATGAACGAGATCCGTAAGGAATCAGAAAAGGATTTATAGCACACAAGTCTTGACTACTGTTACATTCCACTTTGAAATCACTCTGAGGCGAAACAACAATTTTCCAAGATTTAAAGAAAAATAGATTTTACAAAAGGGATTCTTTTATTCACTCAATACATCATTTATGTTACTGACAGTAACAAGTAGATATTTTTTCCACTATAATTTGCTCTGATGAAATAAATAATTCTTTTAATTCCTAACAAATGCTACATTTTCAAGACTAAAGGAATTATCAGTAGGCATTCTTTCTTCTTGATCTAAGTTATTTGTCTCTAAAATATGTCAAGTAAGCTTTTAAAGATTCAGGGAGAGTCAGCTTCATGATTTTTTCTGTCAGTAAATTTTGAGGTGGCTCTTCTGGCTTCATCGCTTCACTGTGATCTTTTTCTTCCTCTTCTTTGTTATCTTCTTCCATTTTTTCATCCTCCTCACTGTCTAGAGGCTGAGGAATAAGCTGATTACCCACAAATACGTAAGTGGTAATTCTCTGTTTAACTCTTTTTCTTTTCCTTTTGGGTGGAGCCCTTTGAGGAATCCCCTTGGCCTGCATCTCATCATTTATGAAATTTCTAAGTGTGCGTCGAATGTAAATACGAGCCAAGTCCTGTAGATTCCTGACAGTGATTCCTTACAGAACTGTAGGGGTGAGGGTTAGATTTAATTTTATATAAGGTTTAAATAATTGTTAAGCTTATGTAACCTGATCTGAATTTATTAGATAAATGAAAACTTCATTTATCTAATAAGGAAATCAAATGCTTTGTAGATCTATTTACCTTACTTTTGTTGCAATCACTATTGCTGGGTTGCTGTATATATATTCCGGGCAATATATGAGTGCAATAACAATTCAAAATATTGAATAATTTAGCTTTTAAAAAATCCCACAAATTTTATGAAATTTTACAGCCCTGCTACTTTTGCTTTTGAATCTCTTGCCAAAAGACATGAGTAAAATATCTGCTTCTCTCATAGAGATTTTAAGAGGGCAGCAAGTGAATTATTAAAATAGGAAATATATACTTAATACAACTCTTTATATGGACCCTTTACATTTTCAATATTTTAAAAAATGAGGTTACCTTAACTCTCTAGAATTTTTAAAGTATATTTAGAATTGTTTTTTCTGTATTTCACTGTATAAAGTATTTGTTTTTTTAAAAAAGCAAAACCATTGTTATGTGTGACTCTTGATAGGCCACAGAACGAGTGAATGAGCATGAGTAAAGCCACTTTCTTAGACGGCTGTAAGTAGCAGGGCCATGGTAGAGCTGCTCAGTGTATGCACTTTAGCAGATGGAACTTCTAGTTTATCTGAATATTTATCTTTGACAAGGTAGGGCTGAGCCTACATTTGCTTTGGATATTTCTAGTACAAGAAATATTCACAGAAATTGTATGTAGATACCCTTTGTTTAGAAAATCCTGTTCAGAATCATAGTGTAATCTTTGGGACTTACGCCATGCTCATTTGACTTCTTCCTATATTTTTTTATGTTTCTTTTGGTAAAACTATAATGGTTTTCATTTCTTACTTAATATCATACAATTATACTGTCATATTTGAGCATTATTGTAGCTTACCGGTGATAAAAAAACAGGTAGTAACTGCCATTGTTTGTTTCTTTGTTTTCCTAATAAGGCCTGAAAACAGCCATTCCTTGTTAAGAAAGTGTGCAATGCAACGTATTTGCTAGAGTTACATGGATTATATATTTCTTAAAGGGAAAAATTTGAGAGTATCAGGGATTACCACTAGCATTATTATTATAGTAGTTGCTCAGATTTGGTTAAGGAAGCCCAATCAATGTATGGTGAAAGGATTATTTGCTCTCTGCTAAGATTCATATATTGTTTCAAAAATCTCAGCTCCAATAATTCCACAACATCTAAAAACAAGTGTTTGTGATCATGTGTAAGCATGAAACTGTTCCAAGTAAGTGAGGATATTTTAGTTATGTGAAAGACAGTATCAATGGAAGGTTATTTGTTTTATACCAGTGGCTGGGATGGTCGAATTGGGATTATTTCTACAGTTATTCTTAGATGATTACTAAACTGTTAAGAAATGCCCCATATCATTTGTATCTAGGAAAGAAAAAATCAGTATCATGCTGTTGTCATCTGTCAGAAATATTCATTTTATTTTCAATTAAATGTGGCTTTTGAAGTTACCTTGAATTCCTGGTGACCACATGTTTTTATCTGGAAAACCTGGGGAAAGTTATCTGTCCCATCTATCCTGCTGTTTTATTTTTTTTTTATTTTTTATTTTTTTCTTGGTTGGAGCTGCTGTTTAGATGATGCTTTTACTATGTAGGAGAGAGTTTTTGTTAAGGATATATTTGAAGAATGGCTTTTCAATATTGTCTTTCATTCTTTGACCTTGGCAAAGTGTACAGTAGATTTTCATGATCATTGCATATTTCTTGTCATTGAAATGCATCTTTTATGTTTTTAAATGCAATCACTTTACACTTGTGACTTTATCATTGACTTTAAGAGGTAGAAATAAAAAATGAAAATAAAAAAAGAAAATGAATGAGATCCACACACCTGCGTGTGTGAGACTATCATGGCAACGGCGACACCCACAGGCATTGCCACCTTCAGGGAGAGGGTCTGGAAAACTCAAGACTATCATGGAGGTTCAGTTCCACACTCCACCCTTCCAGGGTGGTTTCTCCCTGAAATCTTGTGTGAGCCCAGAGATAAACTTCTAGTTTCTGTAGAATTGTGGAGAACTCAGAGAGCCAGCCCCAGAAGCCCCCCTTTCCCTGCCGATCTGGCCCCACCTTCACCTACCACACAAGGCCCTGTGTCTGTGGTTTCTGGGACCTTCGGAGGGCGGGTTACCCAGGGCCCTTGGGTGCTCATGCATATTCATGAAGGGGTGAAGCTGGTGGGTCTTTATAAGGGCCACTGGCGGGGTTGGACTCCTGCCTGGACCTGCGTGCAACACAGAGGCCAACTGAGGTGCACTGGAGCCGCCGGCCTCTCTCTGCCCGTGTCTATCCATGAAATTCCGGCCAGGTGCCCTCGTGATGGCTCTCCCGACACCTTCTGACAGCCCCTTCCCCGCGGAAGCCCGAGAACGAGGACGGCAAAGGAGACTCGTTTGTAACCTGAATGAAAAAGATGCCCTGCCAGCGTGCTTTGAGCAGAACCCGTACCCGAACTGGCCAGAGAGACCTGCCTTTTGGAGTCCAGGATTCAGATTTCGTGTCAGAATCGAAGGTCCAGGCATCCAGGCCAGGGTGGCAGGGAACTCGCGCACGCAGGCGGCCTGTGCAACGCGGCCCACAGCGGGTGCCACCCTCTCTCCTTGGTCACCTTCACCCACGCCAGGGCGTGGGGAACAGGGGGCTTTCGTGAGCCAGACAGCAAGGGTCGCCCCTCTGCTGCAGCCCAGCCAGGCTTCGCAAGCAGAAGGAATCTCCCAACCTGCCGTGGCACACGGGGATTTTGGGTTTGCTGCCCTGGCTCCTTCGGAAGTGGCGCTGTCCCACCCTCAGACACCTGGGTGACCTCTGCATCCGAACAGATGGCAGGAGGACTAGGACCCGCAGTACGGTGGCTTTCTGGGTGCGAGCTCAATGGGATAGCTTGGGCCACTGAGGCTCAAGGTGTGCTTGCGCCTCACACGTCCCACATGAGTCCGTATTGGGGCTGGGGCCAGGGTCCACAGGTCGCCAGGGCGCGTGGGAATGCGAAGCGGAGGCACATCTACCTCCGCAGCTCGCGCTCATGGAGGCCTCTGTGTGTCAGAAGCAGATGTAAGCCATCCAGGCACCCTCCCAACGGCTCCAGGAGCTGGAGTCTTCATCTGTACTCGCATCCACCCTGTTATATGAGTTCCTGTCGACCCCAGAATTTCAGCAAAAGGCATAACCTTTCCTAGCAATGGAGCCGCTGGGGGAGTTGAAGGACTTGGAAGAGCCCGCTTTTCTGGAACCACTCCTCAGCCAGGAAGAACACTGGGCTCAGCTGGAGGAGCTTTAGGACGGGGGTTGGGACCGGGTGGGGGCAGGGCGGTGGCTCCTCTTTCGTGGTGAACCTCTGGCTCCGTATGGAGACCTGTGTCTTCCCTTCCAGCTGACCTGTCTAGGATCCCTGAGTCCAGGCCCGGCGAGAGACTCCACAGAAAGGAGGGCTGTCATTCTTTCCTGAGCATCCCAAGGATTTCAGAGCCAGCCCAGGTACTCAGAGATGGGCCGTCTACTGCGCATGCGCAGGTCCGCGGGCAGCTGGCTAGGGTTTGGGATCAGCCCAGGCAGGGCTCTCATCCCTTCCCCCGCCCCCCCACGCAGTACACCCCCCTGCCCCCATGTTCTTCAGTGGTGTAGGCGGAGACCTTCATCCCGGGAAATACCGACCCGGGCAGCGGCCAGCCCTGCTCTCCTTTCCGCAGCTCAACTCCACTACCTCCCCGCTCCACCCTCCCTCGCCCACCCGTGCCCTGCCATCCTCCTCGGCATCACGTGGAGCGCCCAGCAACTAAATGTAGACCCCGAGATCTCGCGCAAACCGTGGTTCTGCCCTTTCCAGGCGGGAGGGAGGCCAGGCAGAGATGGGGAAAGGAACGGAGACAAAGTGAGAGAGAGGGACAGAGGGAGGAAAGGACGGACCTTGGAAGGGAAGGAGGGAGGGAGGGAGGGAAAGAAAAAGAGAGGAAGGGAGGAAGGGAAGGAGGGAGAAAGGGAGGTATGCATGGTGGGAAAGAGGGAAGGAGAGAAGAACAGAGGGAGGGAGGGAGACAGGGAGGGAGAGAGGGAGAGAAGGAAGAACAGAGGGAAGGATGGACAGAGGGAGAAAAAGAGCGAGAAACAGAGAAAGGAAGGCAAAGAGAAAAACAGTCTTCTGCCTCCAGGACCAGCAGGACTTCGAACTCCGGGAAAATGTTGGGTGCCCAGTGCAGGCTGAGTGCTCAGCCCACAGCCTCGTCGGCTGGCGGTGCGCTCACCGACCCTCGGGATTGCCAGCCTGGGTTACTTCATCCGGGAGCGATTCAGAGGAATTCCGCCTCCCAAGGAATGAGCGAATTCCCCAAAGAACAGAGCCGAGACTCGAATGGTTGTCCGTTTTTCATCCACATGGTTCACAGATGACATATCCCCACGCTGAGCCTGCAACAGAGCGCGAGGCAGATACTCCCATCCACACAGGAGTCACACTCAAGCCGAGTGAACCATGATTCCGGATTCCACGTTCCTTTGCCCTCTGCAAGTGGGCCTGCTGCTCACGTGTCTCTGGCCCCCGAAAGCGTGACCGTGTTGACTGTTTGTTTCCCGAGCTCTGTGGGGCACAGAAACCTCCAGCGAAGCGTGGAAAAGCAGCATCGTGTCTTCGCTCTCCTTTGGTTTCCAAACAGGCCACTTTGGAGACTCCCCATGTTGCAGGAAACAGGAATCCTTCATCAGGCCGTGATGCCTCAGTCCCCTGCCCAGGCTCAAGGCCCACCAGGCGGCCTCCCTTTCGCTGGCACTCCAGGCCTTCCCCCGGCTCGCGAGCTCCTGAGTTTCCAACACATCTGGCTGGCTCAGGACAGGGTGTGCTTGCAGGCGTCAGGGCCCGGGGCCCACAGTCCTGGGATCCCCTCTGGTCTTCCGCCTTGCAGCGGAAAAATTGTTTTGGATCCCTCGCACCCCTCCTGCAAGGCCCCCTCTTGGCCCACACACCCAGAGCCGTCAGGGCTGCCCAGGGGCGAACAGCAGCCCAGCCCTGCGGGCCCTTTTTCTCACAAGGTCCACACCATCGTCGCTTGTCCCGAAGAGGACCTACCAGTGGCCAACGGGACAGGAAGGCACTGCTTTGCCACGCGCTGGCACTAGAGCCCTGGCAGCCTGATCCCCGGGAAAGAGGGGCTGAGGGACACCCAGACACACCCCACCACTACCACGAGCAAACCCATCCCGACACACACACAGGTACACATGGGTGCATGCACACAGGCACACATGGACACACACACACGGACATACACACATGGACACACAAAGACACACACACGGACACATGGACACACGCACACGGACACACACGGACACACACACAAGGACATACAGACAAAGACACAGACACAGCTTGAAAGAGAGCTAAGGAGACTGGGATGGAGAGATACAAATGGGGGGAGAGAGAGAAAAATGGAGGGGGAGAGAGACAGAAGGTGACAGAAGAGCGAGAGTTGGAGGGGGAAGTAGAGAAAGAGAGAGGGTGAGGGAGTTGTAGAGAGAGAGAGACAGAGCCTTGGAGAGGGAGGCTCTGCTCAGGTAGACAGGGCACTTTGAGCAGGCCGGGGTGAGGTGGAGGGTGCTTGGGCCAGGGTAGAACAGGGGGTCAGGGCCACCCACGCGGGAAAACCAACGGAGCCCTGAGACGTGTTTTTTTTTTCTTGGATTGGTTGGTTGCTTTGGGGGTGCGTTTCATAGGGTCCTTCCTTTGTTTGCTTCTTTCTGTCTCCTTGATGCGGTGGGCCCCGAGATTTGTAGAGTGCACCGGTCCATCTGGTGGAAGCCGTGGCACCGAGCGTGTCCACGGGGCCAGGTCTGGGTCTCTCTCGTGTCCTCGGGACTAGAGTTTACACGACGTTGGTGGCAATGGGAAACAGGGTGCACAGGGACGGATTTCTTCGTGGCTGGCGAAGACAATGTCCTTCCCCCGGGAAAGCAGCCCACCGGTTCTGGAGCGGAGGTCTTGGCTGGCGACTGTGGGACCTGCTGCCCCAACTTGGATGGTTGCGGCGGCGCTTGATGAATGAGTTGAATTGCCTGGGGTCCGGGGAGCAGGAAGACACCCCGGAGGGCAGGAAATCCGCGCCTGTGCCTTCCAGGTCTAGTACCTGCTGCAGCGCCCCGGCTGGAGCCGGGCTCCTGGTGGGGCTGCAGCCAGGCGAAAGAGGTGGGATGCTGCCATCTGGCGGTATTGCCGCTGCAGACCCCCACGAGGAAGTTTCATCTCGACATAAATCTTTTTCTTTCTTCAGCTGATCTGTATCCTTAATTTTAGATTAGTGGTAACTCCACAAATTTAGAGGCACAAAATATGGTTGCCCACACCTTATAATCGCATTACCACCTCCCATTACCACCACCTTTCCCCCTCCTCCCCACCTTCAACCCGTAGACTAGGTCTCGCGATGTTTCCAAGGCTGGCCTAAAACTCCTGGGCTTAAGTTATTTGCCTGCCTTGGCCTCTCAAAGTGCTGTGATCGGCGGTGTGAGTCACCATGACCAGCCAACCACCACCAAGTTTTGATTCAGTAGCACTGGGTTGTGGAGCTAAGGATCCACAAATTTAGAAAAGTTTTTAAATATCATAACGTTTCTGTGTGGAAATAGTATTTGGTATTACATTTTTAGACTCTTTTATAATGTTCTGTTTTTTTCCACCGAGCAGAATACTAAGTAGTAATTGGAAAATCACAGCATAAGTCATATTAATTTTTTTAATACAGAGTCCTTGGCTCTTCTCTAAGCTAAACCTGATCACCTATATTGAGTAAAAGAAAAAGCCCCAGAGTGTGAAGAGACAGGGGATAGTAGCCAAACATCCAAATAGGTGGGAGTGAATAAGGCAGATGACAGAGATGAGATGTCCAAAGGTCAAGGAGAAAGCCAGATCTTAAAGTGTGGTTTGCGAAGCTATGCTTCAATGGAAATCTTTTCTGAGAAGCCCTGATTTATTTCTCTTGCTTTCGTTAAAGACTGACATCCTCTGCCCCATGCTCTTCAATTTTCTAGGACTGAACTTCCCCTTCAACGATCATTCTTCTAGGTTACAAAGAAAATCAAAGCCCTTTGCATGGCTTATAAGGGACTGGAGGACATGGTTGCTTGCTCTTTTATTGCTTTTGAGGACATGGAGCTGTCTGTGATTTTTAAGGAACTCTATGATAAGCATTTTCTAATTTCCATTTTGAGTCTTGTCTAAAATGTGTGAGAGCAGTGGAGATATTGGGATTTGGTTTAGAAATCACAGAAACACCATATCCAGATGTCGTAACTTTTCTGCTTTATAATTTCATATCCTGTGAAGGTTTCAAAAGTGATTCTACAGAAATTCATACTCAATAATTTTATCAGAATACTAAGCATCTGCCCCATATAATAAAACCAAATGTTATTTTACTTCAAAATTTTAAGTTTTTGGTATGTATTGAGGCTAATACTGTAAACACTCTGTGCCATAATTCCTAAACTGTAATATGGTTTAATGTATCTACTTTCTACATTTAAAACGTGTACTTTGCCATTGAGGAACTCAAAATATTGTTGAGCATGTATTAA
This sequence comes from Homo sapiens, assembly GCF_000001405.40. NCBI lineage: Eukaryota > Metazoa > Chordata > Mammalia > Primates > Hominidae > Homo > Homo sapiens. Next base: position 29,329,333 of record NC_000020.11, read on the forward strand.
ATACCCATTTGTTTCCTGATTTTTAAATAGTTATCATTTTACAATTTTGCCTTGCTTAGTTTGAAGCTTACTAGGATTTTGTCATTGATATGTGTGTGTGTATATATATATATATATATACATACACACACACACAATTATATACATAACAACATATGTAATTGATATATATGTATATGTTTTATATATGTCTATATACACACTTATATGAATATATGCATGTGTACATAACATTAATTTTTTGGCCAATAAAAATTGCATAATTATGTATTGTGTACATTATAAAAATTTGATAGATATATATTGTAAAATGTTTAATACAATTAAGTTGATGAACATTTATGTCACCTCACATGGTTATGTTTTTTGTAGTGAGAGCATTTGAGGTCTCCTACTGTTGTAGCAAATTTTAAGCATACAAAACACTGTTATTAACTACATCTTAAAGCTGTACATTAGACCCCCAAAACTTATTTATCTTATAACTGAAAGTTTGTACTCTTTGAACACCTTCTCATTTTTTCTACCTCCAGGCCTGGTCATTACCATTGTACTCTCTGCTTCTATAAGTTCAGGCTTTTTAAATTCTCCATTTAAGTGCGAACACACAGTGTTTGTCTTTCTGTGCCTGGCTTATTTTACGTAGCATAATATACCCAGGTCCATTCATGTTGTTGAAATAGCAGAATTTCATTCTTTTTTATGGGTGAATAATATTCGGTTGTCTATTTATACCACATTTTCCTTATCCATTCAGCATCTACAGATAAGTCATTTTTAAAAAAAAATATCCTTGACAGTTGTGAATAATGCTGCATTGAATACAGGAGTGCAGATAATTTTTGAGATGCTGATTTTATTTTGTTTATTTAGAGAAGTGAAATTTCGGGATTGTACGATATTCTATTTTTTAAAATAAACTGTGTGCTAATTTTCATGACTCTTCCAGTCTGCAACTCATTAAGACTGTACAGAAATATTTTGTCACATCCTTGTTAACACTTGTCATGTTTCTTTTTTTGATATTAGCCATTCCAACTGCTGTAAAGTGGTATCTTTTTATTTGCAATTTTCTCATGAATGGTAATGTTTAGCATCTTTCTACATATCTCTTGGCCATTTGAATATGTTTGTATAAAATATTTAGTCTCGGTCAGTGGAGCCAAGAGGGCCGAATAGGAACAGCTCCAGTCTACAGCTCCCAGCGTGAGTGACACAGAAGATGGGTGATTTCTGCATTACCAACTAAGGTACCAGGCTCATCTCACTGGGGAGTGCTGGTCAGTGGGTGCAGGACAGTGGGAACAGCACACCGCGCATGAGCCGAAGCAGGGTGAGGCATCACCTCACCTGGGAAGCACAAGGGGTCAGGGAATTCCCTTTCCTAGTCAAAGAAAGGGGTGACAGATGGCACCTGGAAAATCGGGTCACTCCCACCCTAATACTGCACTTTTACAACCTGCTTCACAAACAGCACACCAGGAGATTATATCCTGCACCTGGCTCGGAGGGTCCCATGCCCATGGAGCCTTGCTCATTGCTAGCACAGCAGTCTGAGATCAAACTGCAAGGTGACAGTGAGGCTGGGGGAGGGGCTGCCACCATTGCTCAGGCTTGAGTAGGTAAACAAAGCAGCCAGGAAGCTCGAACTGGGTGGAGTCCACCACAGCTCAAGGAGGCCTGCCTGCCTCTGTAGGCTCCACCTCTGGGGGCAGGGCACAGACAAACAAAAGACAGCAATAACCTCTGCAGACGTAATTCTCCCTGTCCCACAGACTTGAAGAGAGTAGTGGTTCTCCCAGTACACAGCTTGAGATCAGAGAATGGGCAGGCTGCCTCCTCAAGTGGGTCCCTGACCCCCGAGTAGCCTAATTGGGAGGCACCCCCCAGTAGCGGCAGACTGACACCTCACACGGCCGGGTACTCCTCTGAGACAAAACTTCCAGAGGAACCATCAGGCAGCAGCATTTTTGGTTCACCAATATCCGCTGTTCTGCAGCCACTGCTGCTGATACCCAGGCAAACAGGTTCTGGAGTGGAACTCCAGTAAACTCCAACAGATCAGCAGCTGAGGGTCCTGACTGTTAGAAGGAAAACACAAACAGAAAGGACATCCACACCAAAACCCATCTGTACGTCACCATCATCAAAGACCAAACGTAGATAAAACCACAAAGATGGAGAAAAAACAGAGCAGAAAAACTGGAAACTCTAAAAATCATAGCACCTCTCCTCCTCCAAAGGAACACAGCTCCTCACCAGCAACGGAACAAAGCTGGATGGAGAATGACGAGTTGAGAGAGGAAAGCTTCAGAAGATCAAACAACTCTGAGCTAAAGGAGGAAGTTCAAACCAATGGCAAAGAAGTTAAAAACTGAAATAAAATTAGACAAATGGATAACTAGAATAACCAATGCAGAGAAGTCCTTAAAGTACCTGATGGAGCTGAAAACCATGACACAAGAACTACGTGACGAATGCACAAGCCTCATTAACCGATGTGATCTACTGGAAGAAACGGTATCAGCGATGGAAGATGGAATGAATGAAATGAAGCATGAAGAGAAGTTTACAGGAAAAAGAATAAAAGGAAATGAACAAAGCCTCCAAGAAATATGGGACTATGTTAAAAGACCAAATCTATGTTGCATTGGTGTACCTGAAAGTGACAGGGAGAATGGAACCAAGTTGGAAAACAGTCAGCAGGATATTATCCAGGAGAACTTCCACAATCTAGCAAGGCAGGCCAACATTCAAATTCAGGAAATACAGAGAACGCCACAAAGATACTCCTCGAGAAGAGCAACTCCAAGACACATAATTGTCAGATTCACCAAAGTTGAAATGAAGGAAAAGATGTTAAGGGCAGCCAGATAGAAAGGTCGGGTTACCCACAAAGGGAAGCCCATCAGACTAACAGCTGATTTCTCAGCAGAAACTCTACAAGCCAGAAGAGAGTGGGGACCAATATTCAACATTCTTAAAGTAAAGAATTTTCAACCCAGAATTTCATATCCAGCCAAACTAAGCTTCATAAGTGAAGGAGAAATAAAATATTTTACAGACAAGCAAATGCTGAGAGATTTTGTCACCACCAGGACTGCCCTAAAAGAGTTCCTGAAGGAAGCACTAAACATGGAAAGGAACAACTGGTAGCAGCCACTGCAAAAACATGCCAAATTGTAAAGGCCATCGAGGCTACGAAGAAACTGCATCAACTAATGAGCAAAATAACCAGCTAACATCATACTGACAGGATCAAATTCACACTTAGCAATACTAACCTTAAAGGTAAATGGGCTAAATGCTCGAATTAAAAGGCACAGACTGGCAAATGGGATAAAGAGTCAAGACTCATCAGTGTGCTCTATTCAGGAACCCCATCTCACGTGCAGAGACACACACAGGCTCAACATAAAGGGATGGAAGAACATCTACCAAGCAAATGGAAAACAAAGAAAGGCAGGGGTTGCAATCCTAGTCTCTGATAAAACAGACTTTAAACCAACAAAGATCAAAAGAGACAAAGAAGGCCATTACATAATGGTAAAGGGATCAATTCAACAAGAAGAACTAACTATCGTAAATATATACGCATCCAATACAGGAGCACCCAGATTCCTAAAGCAAGTCCTTAGTGACCTATAAAGAGACTTAGACCACCACACAATAATAATCAGAGACTTTAACACCACACTGTCAACATTAGACAGATCAACAAGACAGAAAGTTAACAAGGATATCCAGTAATTGAACTCAGCTCTGCACCAAGTGGACCTAATAGACATCTACAGAAATCTCCATCCCCAATCAACAGAATATACACTTTTCAGCACCACACCACACATATTCCAAAGATGACCACATAGTTGGAAGTAAAGCACTCCTCAGCAAATGTAAAAGAACAGAAATCATAACAAACTCTCTCAGACCACAGTGCAATCAACCTAGAATTCAGGATTAAGAAACTCACTCAAAACTGCTCAACTACATGGAAACTGAACAACCTGCTCCTGAATGACTACTGGGTACATAACGAAATGAAGGCAGAAATAAAGATGTTCTTTGAAACCAATGAGAACAACGACACAACATACCATAATCTCTGGGACACATTCAAAGCAGTGTGTAGAGGGAAATTTATAGCACTAAATGCCCAGAAGAGAAAGCAGGAAAGATCCAAAATTGACACCCTAACATCACAATTAAAAAAACTAGAGAAGCAAGAGCAAACACATTCAAAAGCTAGTAGAAGGCAAGAAATAACTAAGATCAGAGCAGAACTGAAGGAAATAGAGCCACAAAAAACCCTTCAAAAATCAATGAATCCAGGAGCTGGTTTTTTGAAAAGATCAACAAAATTGATAGACTGCTAGCAAGACTAAGAAAGAATAAAAGAGAGAAGAATCAAATAGATGCAATAAGAAATGGCAAAGGGGATATCACCACTGATCCCACAGAAATACAAACTACCATCAGAGAATAATTCACCTCTATGTAAATAAACTAGAAAATCTGGAAGAAATGGATAAATTCCTCAACACATACAACATCCCAAGACTAAACCAGGAGGAAGTTAAATCTCTGAATAAACCAATAACAGGCTCTGAAATTGATGAGATAATTAATACCTTACCAACCAAAAAAAATCCAGGACCAGATGGATTCAAAGCGAATTCCACCAGAGGTCCAAGGAGGAGCTGGTACCCTTCCTTCTGAAATTATTCCAATCAATAGAAAAAGATGGAATCCTCCTTAACTCATTTTATGAAGCCAGCATCATCCTGATACCAAAGCCTGGCAGAGACAAACCAAAAAAAAGCATATTTTAGACCAATATCCTTGATGAACATTGATGCAAAAATCCTCAATAAAATACTGGCAAACCACATCCAGCATCACATCAAAAAGCTTATCCACCATGATCAAGTGGGCTTTATCCCTGGGGATACAAGGCTGGTTCAACATACAAAAATCAATAAAGGTAATCTAGCATATAAACAGAATGAAAGCCAAAAACCACAAGATTATCTCAGTAGATGCAGAAAAGGCCTGTGACAAGATTCAACAACACTTCATGCTAAAACCTCTCAATAAATTAGGTATTGATGGGATGTATCTCAAAATAATAAGAGCTATCTATGACAAACCCACAGCCACTATCATACTGAATGGACAAAACTGGAAGCATACCCTTTGAAAAGTGGCACAAAACAGGGATGCCCTCTCTCACCACTCTTATTCAACATAGTGTTGGAAGTTCTGGCCAGGGCAATCAGGTAGGAGAAGGAAATAAAGGACATTCAATTAGGAAAAACAGAAGTCATATTGTCCCTGTTTGCAGATGACATGATTGCATATCTAGAAAATCCTGTTGTCTCAGCCGAAAATCTCCTTAAGCTGATAAGCAACTTCAGCAAAGTATCAGGATACAAAGTCGATGTGCAAAAATCACAAGCATTATTATACACCAATAACAGACAAACAGAGAGCCAAATCATGAGTGAACTCCCATTCACGATTACTTCAAAGAGAAAAAAAATACTTAGGAATCCAACTTACAAGGGATGAGAAGAACCTCTTCAAGGAGAACTACAAACCACTGCTCAATGAAATAAAAGAGGATAAAAACAAATGGAAGAACATCCCATGCTCGTGGGTAGGAAGAATCAATGTTGTGAAAATTACCACATTGCCCAAGGTAATTTATAGATTCAATGCCATCCCCATCAAGCTACCAATGACTTTCTTCACGAATTGGAAAAAAAACACTTTAAAGTTCATATGGAACCAAAAAAGAGCCTGCATTGCCAAGTCCATCCTAAGCCAAAAGGGCAAAGCTGGAGGCATCACGCTACCTGATGTCAAACTATACTACAAGGCTACAGTATCCAAAACAGCATGGTACTGGTACCAAAACAGAGATATAGACCAATGGAACAGAATAGAGCCCTCAGAAATAATGCCACATATATAAAACTATCCGATCTTTGACAAACATGACAAAAACAAGTAATGGGGAAAGGATTCCCTATTTAATAAATGGTGCTGGGAAAACTGGCTAGCCATATGTAGAAAGCTGAAAGTGGATCCCTTCCTTACACATTATACAAAAATTAATTCATGATGGATTAAAGACTTACATGTTAGACCTAAAACCATAAAAACACTAGAAGAAAACCTAGGCAATACCATTCAAGACATAGGCATGGGCAAGGACTTCATGCCTAAAACACCAAAAGCAATGGCAACAAAGGCCAAAATTGACAAATGGGATCTAATTAAACTAAAGACCTTCTGCACAGCAAAAGAAACCACAATCAGAGTGAACAGGCAACATAAAGAATGGGAGAAAATTTTTGCAACCTACTCATCTGACAAAGGGCTAATATCCAGAATCTACAATGAGCTCAAACAAATTTACAAGAAAAAAACAAACAACCCCATCAACAAGTGGGCAAAGGATATAAACAGACACTTGTCAAAAGAAGACATTTATGCAGCCAAAAAACACATGAAAAAAGCTCACGATTTCTGGCCATCAGAGAAATGCAAATCAAAACCACAATGAGATACCGTCTCACACCAGTTAGAATGGCAATCATTAAAAAGTCAGGAAACAACAAGTGCTGGAGAGCATGTGGAGAAATAGGAACACTTTTACACTGTTGGTGGGACTGTAAACTAGTTCAACCATTGTGGAAGTCAGTGTGGTGATCCCTCAGGGATCTAGGACTAGAAATACCATTTGACCCAGCAATCCCATTACTGGGTATATACCCAAAGGACTATAAATCATGCTGCTATAAAGACACATGCACACATATGTTTATTGCGGCACTATTCACAATAGTAAAGACCTGGAACCAACCCAAATGTCCAACAATGATAGACTGAATTAAGAAAATGTGGCACATATACACCATGGAACACTATGCAGCCATAAAAATGATGAGTTCATGTCCTTTGTAGGGACATGGATGAACCCGGAAACCATCATTCTCAGCAAACTATCACAAGGACAAAAAACTAAACACCGAATGTTCTCACTCATAGGTGGGAATTGAACAATGAGAACACATGAACACAGGAAGGGGAACATCAGGCACCGGGGCCTGTTGTGGGGTGGGGGAGGGGGGAAGGATAGCATTAGGAGATATACCTAATGCTAAATGATGAGTTAATGGGTGCAGCAAAGCAACATGGCATAGGTATACATATGTAACTAACCTGCATGTTGTGCACATGTACCCTAAAATTAAAGTATAATAATATAAAAAAAATTTAGTCTTTTGCTTATTTTTTAGTTGGGTATTATAATTATTATTGTTTAGCTTCTGATTTGTATGAGTTTCTGCTATATTTTGAATACTAACCTCTTATCATATATAGTTTGCAAATATTTTATCCCATCTTAAATGTTTTCTTATTTTTTGCTGTGCACAATACTTTAATACACTACAACTTTATGCCTCCTTTTATTGCTATATTTTTGATATCATATTTAAAAAAAACATTGCCAAGGTCAGTATCATGAAGGCTTTTCATATGCTTTTTTAAAGATTTTCTTTTAAAGATTTATGTATTAAATGTAAGTCTTTATTTTAAGTCAATTTTTGTGTCTGGTGTAAGAAATATGATCAAGTTTTATTATTGTGCTTGCGAGTACCCAGTTTTCCCAGCACTAAGTATTGAAAAGGCTACACGTTTTGTATTGTGTATTCATAGTGCCCTTGTCAAAGATTAACTTTAGATGCATAGATTTACTTCTGGGCTCTGTATTCTGTTCCATTGGTTTTTGTGTTTGTTCCTATAAACATTCCATTCTATTATGTTTACTGTAGTCTTGAAATGCAATTTTAAATAATAAAATATAATGTCCCCAGATTTTGTTTTATTCCTCATGATTGGTTTGACCATTCAATATTTCTTATAGTTTTATATACATTGCAGACTTTATTTTCTATTACTGTAAAAAGTGGCACAGGAATTTTGATAGGAAGTTGAATTAATCTACAGATTGCTTTGGATAATATGGCACTTAGACAATATTCTTCTAATCCATAAACATGTAATATATTTACATTTATTAGTATCTTCTTTAATTTTTTTATCAATGTATTTTATTTTTATTGTAAAGATCTTTCGCCACATTGGTGAAATTTATTGCTAAGAAATCTATTATTTGGTTGCTATTGTAAATGAGATTTTTTTTTTCTTTTTTACTGGTTTGTTGCTAGCATATAGAAACAAAACTCATATTTGTATGTTAATTGTTTATTCTGCTTCTTTACTGAGTGCATTCATTAGATGCACTATTTATATATAGTTCCATTAAATGTATTATTTAAATGTACTACTTATATTTTTTATATATAACATTATGTCATCTACAAACAGTGACGTTATTTCTTCTTTTCAATATGGATCTTTTAGCTTTTCTTGCTTAATTATTTGATGTAGGACTTAATTATTCTATGTAGGACTTCCAGTTCTATGTTAAAATAGAACCGTTAGAATGGGCATAATGTAGACTTGCATTGGTGTTTGCACATTTGAAGGAGCAAACACCTCTTTCCATTTGTTGTTGTTGTTGTTGTTGTTGTTGTTGTTTTCTTTTTGAGATGGAGTCTCGCTCTGTCACCCAGGCTGGAGTGCTGTGGCACGATCTTGGTTCGCTGCAACAGCCGCCTCCTGAGTTCAAGCAATTCTCTGCCTCAGCAGGCTGGTTTTGAACTCCTGACCTCGTGATCCACCCACCTCGGCCTCCCAAAGTGCTGGGATTACAGGTGTGAGCCACCGTGCCCAGTCACCTCTTTTCATTTTTATAAACTGGTTATAGTAGGTAAAGATCTTCATCTGTTAGGTCTCGAGGCTGATGCGATCTTTACTGGGTTTGCAGTAAAAAGGCTTGTAGCTGCGTCACAAGGTGGCTGCCGAATCTGAAGTCGGTTTTACCTTTAATGGGCTTGTTACCAGGAGCACGTGTGGTTGTGAGTTCTGTCATGTTTTTGTGCAGGCTGGATTGTCTTCAGGGCTTTGTTTTGTGGAGCAGGCACTAGGGCAGGTTCTGCTATATGCTGGGCCTAATAGCAGATGTGTGGGTGAGTGTGGCTCCCACTGAGTACCTAGCAGTTTTTCACCAGGTTATCTACAAACAGTGACTTTTGAACTGTTTTGTGCGAGTCACGAGTATGATGTCCCCAGCTTTTTTCTTATTCCTCATGATTGGCTTTGCCATTCAGCCTACATTGTAGGCTTGCATTTTCTATTACTATAAAAAGTGGGACAGGGATTTTGATAGGGATTTGAGTTAACTTACAGATTGCTTTGGATAATATGACACCTTATTAACCAAAAGTCCTGCCTTCTCAAAATGGCTCTTTTCGATCTTGGGTTTTAGCAAGGTTTCATAATGCCCTGTAACCCAAAGCTCACTATATTGCCCAGGCTGTTCTTGAACGCCTGGCCTGAAGCAGTCCTCCCGCCTCAGGCTCCTGAATGGAGGAGATTACTGTCATGAGCCACTGTGCCTGGATCTCTCATAAAGTTACTTTGGTTGATGGATGGCTGACTAGTTTTTATTGCTGCAGGAGAATACAAAAGTAGGGAACCCCTATTCCACCACCTTGATAATGTCACTGTCTCCATACATTTCTTCCTTATTTTGTTCTCTTGTATGTTTGTGTGTTATTTTAGGTTCAAATATTAAGACCAATAGGCTAGGATTTATACATTGTGAAAAAAGTAAATTAGATAGTTAGTAGATACCCTATATATATATTATAATGTTCACCTATAAGATTAAGTTTAGTGCAGGCAAAAAGGGCTCATTAAAATTTTCATCCACTTTTTTCAACCTCTATCCAAACTATAATATAATTTATGCCCCAATTTTTATTTTATCAATTACTCTTAACCATATTTCATAAAATTTATATTTTTTCTTTTATGGAAAAGTAAGGCTATTATTTGATTTTAAAGGCTGTAATACAGCTTTTTTATTTTGTACAATAATAGCACCAATATTATAAATATTTATAGTGTAAATACTTATTGATTAAAATCTTCCCATTAGATTTTAATTATTGTAGTGCATTTTTGTAAAATTGTACTGCCACACACCACAGGGCAATGATTCAAAATGCCTGGTCTTCACAGATGCACAGTCACAGTTGAACATTGTAGTTATTTAGAAAAATTCTTTTCTAGTGTTATATCAATGTTCCAAACAAGATATTATGAGTAAATATTTCACACATTCTAGTTTTGAAATTCCATGTTAACTGTATTTTTATTTTAGGGTAGGTTCCTTGACATTGGTTTATAGTATTTTTGGTTTTACCTAAGTAATATTTTGGGTGACAATGTGCAGCAACTTTTAACGTACAGTTTATGTCAATGTGCAGTTTAATTACAATATGAATCAGCCATATATTTATTCACAATTCAAGTTTAACAAACTTAATGAAAACTAAGCAAACTAACGTTACATGATAAAGCCCCAATCAGCTATCTTATACTTAAGCAAATACACCAAAAAATAGTTTGTAGCTTTATTGCTGCTTTTGTTCAAACTATGTTTTTTATTCCCTATATATTTCCCAAGGAAATTTCTGACATTGTCCTACCAGGCTAAAGAAACAAACAAAAAGACAGTGATTATACTTTCAAGTAGTAGTTTGTTTAGAGCCCCAGATATTCCATCTGTAGATCACTATGCTCATATTTGTCTGTTTTAATAAGGCTGTAGCCCAAACCTTACATTTTTGTGGAAATCAAAGATTTTCAGTTCCATACTAAAGACAGGACAGCCCCATGATCTAAATCCAATGGTGATGGTTTAGAGTGAGGACCATTTCTTGTCGACATGGAGATTGTTGAGTTCTTCTACAATAAATCTATGGGAGAGGCAGGTTGTGATAAGTTGGCTGCAGGGCAGGGTATTCAGGGCATGAAAAGGACAAAGTCAGAAAACAAAAACCTCCAGAGTCTTCAGCTAAATACTGATCAGCACATGTATGTGTGTAAACTACAATCTGGGGGAAAAAATACCTGAAGGAAACAGAAAGAACAATGTTTGAACCTCCCACAGAACCAGGCATATTTGGTGTTCCCACCAGCAACAGTGGACAAATCTTATACTTCCCGGACCACTGGATGGAACACTCAGAAAATAATTGCCTCAGTAGTGTGGAAGATTAGATCTAGGCCGAGGCTGCTAAGGTCCTACTTAACAAGACCTCAAAGAAAACCCTCAAAGAACCAAAATCTTTCCAGATAATTTAACTACATCCTAGAACATAGCTCAATAATATTTATAAGAACCCAACAATATCCAACACACAATAAGATAAATTTCATGTTGTCTGCCATCCAGCTGAAAATTACCAGGCATGTGAAGAAAAAGGAAATGTTTCAATAATGAGAAGAAAACTGATCAATAGATACAGAAATGACAAATAAGATGGAATTAGTAGGCAATGATATTAAAACAGTTATTGTAATGATAATATTCCACAAGAAGTAGGTAAAGGGAAGCTAGAACATGGAAGTAGAGACATGGAAGACCCAGCTTGAACTTCTAGAGATGAAAAATACAATGTCTGAGATGAAAAATATACTAAATGGCATTTGAAATAGAATAGATATTATACAAAAAAGGATTAGTCAACTGGAAGATGTAGCAGTAGAAACTATCAAAAATGGAACATGGAGAAAATAATGGAAAAAACTGAACAGAAAATCAGCACCAGTAGGAATAATATATGTGTAATTGGAATTCCTGAAGAAGGTGGGGAGGAGTAGAAGAAAAAATATTTGAAAAAACTGTGGCTGAGAAAATTTAAATTTGAGAAAAACTGTAAACCCAGAGATCTAAGAACCAATGAACCCCTAGCACAAGAGACATGAGGATGACACACTGAAGTACATCATAATCAAATTGCCCCAAACCAGTGACGAAGAGAAAATCTGAAAGGTTACCAAAGGGAAAAGGACATTATACAGAGAGGAACAAAGATGAAAATAGGCTGAGTGTGGTGGCTCACACCTGTAATCCCAGCACTTTGGGAGGCTGGAGCAGGACGATCACTTGAGCCCAGGAGTTCAAGAGCAGCCTGGGCAACATGGCAAAACCCCATCTCTACTAAAAATACAAAAATTAGCAGGGCATGGTGGCACGAATCTATAACCCCAGCTGCTCAGGAGGCTGAGGCAGGGAGAATTGCTTGAACCTGGGAGGCGGAGGTTGCAGTGAGCTGAGATGGCGCCATTGCACTCCAGCCTGGGTGACAGAGGGAGACTCTGTCTCAAAAAAAAAAAAAAAAAAAGATGGCAGACATCTGGTTAGAAACAATGCAAGGTCAGGCGTGGTGGCACATGCCTGTTATCCCAGCACTTTGGGAGGTCAAGGCAGGATGATCACTTAAGCCCAGGAGTTCTAGACCAGCCTGGGCAACATGGCAAAACCTGGCCTCTACATAAAATGCAAAAATTAGCTGGGTGTGGTGGCGCATGCCTGTAGTCACAGCTACTTGGGAGGCTGGGGCCGGAGGATTGCTTGAACCCAGGAGGTAAAGGTTTCAGTGAGCTGGAATCATGCCACTGCACTGCAGCCTGGGTGACAGAGTGAGACCTTGTCTCAAAGAAAAAAAAAAAAGAAAGGAAACAATACAAACCAGAGGATAGTGGAGTGACTTCTATAAAATACTTAAGGATAAAACGATTGCCAGTCTAGAATTCTACACTCAGCAAAAATATCTTTCAAAAATGATAGTGAAATAAAGACCTTTGGACATTGAAAAGCTTGAAGAATGCATTACCAGCAAGTCCTCACTACAAGGAATATTAAAGGAAATCCTTCAGGCAGAGGAAAAGTGAAACCAGATGGAAGTCCAGATCTACAAAAAAGAATGTACAGCACCAGAGATGGCAAACGTGTGAGCAAAAATACAACATTAAAAAGCATTTTTAAAAGACAATTGACTGTTTAAGGCAAAAATCATAACAAATTAATGTGAGTTTACAGCACATATAGAAGTAAAACGCATGAAAACAATAACATAAAACCCAAAAGGAGGGAAATGAATGGGCACTGTTTTAAGGTTCTTATCCTCTATGTGAAGTGGTATAATGTTGATGGCAGCCAATGCTAAGTTAAATACATATACTGTATTAGTCTGTTTTTGCACTGCTACAAAGAAATGCCTGACACTTCTCAAAAGAAGACATTTATGCAGCCAAAAAAACACAAGAAAAAATGCTCATCATCACTGGCCATCAGAGAAATGCAAATCAAAACCACAATATCATCACTGGCCATCAGAGAAATGCAAATCAAAACCACAATGAGATACCGTCTCACACCAGTTAGAATGGCAATCATTAAAAAGTCAGGAAACAACAGGTGCTGGAGAGCATGTGGAGAAATAGGAAAACTTTTACACTGTTGGTGGGACTGTAAACTAGTTCAACCATTGTGGAAGTCAGTTTGGCGATTCTTCAGGAATCTAGAACTAGAAATACCATTTGACCCAGCCATCCCATTGCTGGATATATACCCAAAGGATTATAAGTCATGCTGCTATAAAGATACATGCACACATATGTTTATTGCAGCACTATTCACAATAGCAAAGACTTGGAACCAACACAAATGTCCAACAATAATAGACTGGATTAAGAAAATGTGGCACATATACACCACGGAATACTATGCAGCCATAAAAAATGATGAGTTCATGTCCTTTGTAGGGACATGGATGAAGCTTGAAACCATCATTCTCAGCAAACTATCGCAAGGACAAAAAACCAAACACCACATGTTCTCACTCTTAGGTGGGAATTGAAAAATGAGAACACATGGACAGAGGAAGGGAGATATCACACACCGGGGACTGTTGTGGGGTGGGGTGGGGGGGAGGGAGAGCATTAGGAGATATACCTAATGCTAAATGACGAGTAAATGGATGCAGCACACCAATATGACACATGTATACATATGTAACAAACCTGCACGTTGTGCATACGTACCCTAAAACTTAAAGTATAATAATAATACTTAAAAAAATAATAAATAAATTTAAAAAAAAAAGAAATGTCTGAGACTGGGGCTGGGCATGATGGCTCACGCTGTAATCCCAGCACTTTGTGAGGCTGAGGCAGGTGGAGTACGTGTTCAAGAGATTGAGACCATCCTGGCCAACATGGTGAAACACTGTCTCTACTAAAAATACAAAAAAAAATTAGGTGGGCTTGTGGCATATGATTGTAGTCCCAGCTAAGCTACTTGGGAGGCTGAGGCAGCAGAATCACTTGAACCAGGGAGGCGGAGGTTGCAGTAAGCCGAGATTGCATCACTGCACTGCAGCCTGGACGACAGAGCAAGACTACATCTCAAAAAAAAAAAAGAAAATATCTGAGACTGGGTAAGTTATGAAGAAAAGAGGATTAATTGGCTCACAGTTCTGCAGGCTGTACAGGAAGCGTGGTTCTGTCATCTCCTCGGCTTCTGGGCAGGCCTCAGGGAGCTTACAATAATGACAGAATGCAAAGGGGAAGCAGGCACATCTTATGTGACTGGAGCAGGAGGATGAGAGAAAGGGGGGGGGGTGCCACACACTATTAAACAACTAGATCTTGTGAGAACTCACTTGCTACATAGTACCAAGTGGGGATGGTGTTAAACCATGAGAAACTGGCTCCATGATCCAATCACCTCCCTCCAGGCCCCATGTTTGGCATTGGGGATTACATTTCCACATGAGATTTGGGTAGGGACAGAGATCCAAACCATATGATATACCATAAACCATAGAGCAATGATTAAAACTCAAAACCAAACGAAGCAAAAATAGTTATATGTAAAAGGCCAACTAAGAAGATTAAATGAAATAAAAATACTCAGCAAATTCAAAAGAAGTCAAAGAGGAAAAGGAGAACAAACTACAGATGAGACAAATAAAAAGCAAACAGGAAGATGACCAAGTAAAACCAAACTCTCCGGCATTCCACCAGTTGTGTGTGATTATTTAGCAACTCTCTGCCTCTGACAATAATACCTGTCACACAGGGTTGTCATCAGAGCTTGCCACATGTGATATGGAAAGCCTGCTGTTTACAGACCTGCAATCATTATACCTTAGCTCGTATTGTTGGTAGCAGAGACCCAGGTCTCTGTGTTGGTCATGCTGAGAGCTCCCTTCTCATTGCTCTGTTTTCCTCCTCTTTTGTTCCCTTTCTGTACTTCCACTCCCCACACTATCTGGTTGGAGAAGATTCTCAGCCTCTCAGTCTGCAAATATTCAAAGTCCATGAATCAAATAGCCAACAAATGTATTTCTGTACATTTATCTGCTACCCAGGGATCCAGGAGAAATGCTTTCCTTACTGCAAGAAGTCTGCGGCTGCTGATGTCAAGAATCTGCTCTCTGTCCTCTTCTCTTTTCTGATCTGCATATTCTCAACTGCACTGCACTTCTGGGAAGATGTTACACAGAGACAACTATGAGTTTTTGTAAGAAGATGAGAAGTCACCACTTTGGGAACCATCCATTAGACGTACCAATATTGCTGCAGATATGGATTCTGGCAAGTTCTCTTCTTCTCTGACACCCACCCCTTCCCCCATTGGCAACAGCAACTTGGGTTTGCTCTTCAGCTATGGCAGTGCCTACCTCTGGGGAACTGTGACTTGCTTTATACCCTATCCAATAACACAGTGTGCCCTTATACACAGTAGGTGTTCAATATACATCTGTTGAAGGGATTTCATCACAGTTAAATCTGTGGAGAGTTCAGCAGATAAGTGAGTTGCTCAAGATGGTCAGAGGCTATCTTATTCCATTTGGGCTGCCGTAACAAAATACCTTAGCCTAGGGGGCTTATAAGCAGCAGAAATTTATGTCTCATAGGTCTGGATGCTGGCAAGTGGAAGGTCAAGGTATTGACAGATTGGGTGTCTGTTGAGGACCTGTTCCTTATAGAGGGCACCTCCTAGCTGTGTCCTCAAATGGTGGAAGAAGAGAACAAGCTCCCTTGGCTCCCTTTTACAAGGCCACTTCATGGGCTTCAAGGTCATTCATGGGCTCTTTGCTTTCATGGTGAAATCACTTCCTAAAGTCTTTGCCTCCTAATTCAAACCTAACCTATCAGGGGTTAGGTTTCAACACACGGATTTTAGGGGCACCCAAACATTGACTATAACAGAGACGTAGCTGGACCTGGGTCTGGGACCTACTGGGTCCAGCTCCCATATGACACTCACACTGCACATGGCCTCCCCATGGTGTGATTCTGTTCTGTGACATTGTGCCCATGAGGCAGGGATGCAGTAGAGGCCTCTGCAGACATGGTTTGTTCTTGGGACGTCTGCCTGGCTTTGTGCCACAGGCCTGGAGGAATCCACCAGCTGCCCACTCTCATGCCTGACTCAGGTTCGTGGGTCCCTCCAGGCACATGTCAGACAGCCCACTCAATTTTTTACTTGCCCCACCTCCCTGGGTTCCCTTCTGAACTCAGGGAACAAGGAGGGAGCTGAGAGTCTCTGTTTTTAGTTCATGCTCTTGTCTCCTATTTGGGAACAATGCCCAGGCAAGGGGATCACTTTCCTACTGTTTTCTAAGAATATCAGGGGCTTCCTCCAAACTCCTCACCCACTCTCTCCATAATCCCTTCTCCTTTGGGGACACAGGGCACAAGCCCACCTCCTGTGTGAAGATCCTGCCACAGGGTGGCTCTTTGGTTTTCTGCGGGTATCCAGACAAGAGGCTAAAGGTGAATGCACTCCGGAATCCAGGAGCACTGGCGGTTTTCTCTCCTTAGCTCAGAGAGCATCCCCACAGATACCCCTCGCCCCACCCCGGGCCCCCTGAATCCATACCATAAAATGTATGTCAGTTTGTTCAACTAAGGACCGCACTGAGTATTTAATCCCTATTTAAAGATGATGTTTATTTTATTTTTGAGTTTAAATTAATCAGCCTCAGGATACAGAATTAGATAAGGCCGGGATTTAGCTCCCCTAGAATGATTCATTTCACATCGAGCCTTCTTAACTCTTTGGCTGCAGAGGGGAAATGCCTGTATCTTTCTCTGCAGAGTTGCCTAGGGCTGGCCAGGTGAACAGACATGCTACCTCCTCCCCATCCTGCCAGCCAGGGCACGGTGTGTGCTTATGATGCAGGGAGTTAGAATACTAGCCTTTTCATCACAACAGTCATAAATCCTCACACAGGGAAATAGAGATAATATACAAGTAGGAAAAAAAGAAAAAGAAGCAGTCTTGAATTCTGCTTCCTAAAGATAACCATCGTTACCATGTAGGCAAGTTTCCTTTCATGCTGTGTCAAGTGTTTAAAAAATATGGCTCAATATTACAAACACACAGGACTATGTAGAGGATAATGATATCAAACTTTCATGTACCTCCCAGTTAAAATTCAAACGTGGTAGCTTTTGGATGCATTTGCTCCAGAGTTTAAGGGAAGAAAACTACGGATTCAGCCATAATGTTCATGCTGACGCTCAAGTTATATGTCCCTTTTCTAGTCCAGTTACCGCCTCCCTCCCCACTATTCTGAAGTCAATGTGTGTCTTCCCATCCATGTTTAATACCTAGTGTGCATGTCCGTGAAGAATGGATAGTGTTCTTTGGTCTGTTTTTGCAATTTTATACAAATAGCAGTCCATACATACTCTCCTGAAAGTTGCTTTTCCCCTCAACAATATCTTCCAGATGAATCTAGAATTCTGCATTTCTGGTGAGCAAAGGATGCGCGACCCCCCCTGCAACCCCCACCCCAAGGTGATGCCGATGTTCTGGTCCAAGGCCTGCACGTAGCCTCGTAGGGCTTGGGGTCTTGGGAAAGGTCTGTTGTCAGCCCTTCCTTCCAAGGAAGCACAGCCAGATGACCTTGGGGCTGGAGACCTCACAATGCCCCTCGCCAGCAGTGCGCACATCCATCTTCACTCATCTTCATCAATATTTGTTATCTTACTTTCTGATATTGTTCCTGGATTTTGCTATGCAGCTGAATGCGTGCCTTGTGTTTCCCAGTCCTTCGGGTCTCCTCCTCTGTGAATTGCTCCTGGCCCATATGTCTGTTGGGTCTTTGGTTTCTCCTTGCTGACTTGTAAGTGCTAGTTTTTTTTTAGACGGAGTTTTGCATTTGTTGCCTAGGTGGGAGTGCAATGGCATGATCATGGCTCACCACAACTTTTGCCTCCTGGGTTCAAGCGATTCTCCCACCTCAGCCTCCTGAGTAGCTGGGATTACAGGTAAGTGCCACCACACCTGGCTAATTTTGTATTTTTAGTAGAGATGGGGTTTCTCCATGTTGGTCAGACTGGTCTCGAACTCCCAACCTCAGGTGATCCACCCACCTCAGCTTCCCAAAGGGCTGGGATTACAGGCATGAGTCACCACGTCTGGCCAATTTTGATTTTAATGATCTGGATATCAATGCTTTTTTGGCCAAATGTCTTACAAATATGTTTTCCCTACTGGTGCACTGTATTAGTCCATTTTCACACTGCCGATAAAGACATACCCCAGGCTGGGAAGAAAAAGAGGTTTAATAGGACTTACAGTTTCACATGACTGAAGAGGCCTCAGAATCATGGTGGGAGGTGAAAGGCACTTCTTACATGGCAGTGGCCAGAGAAAAATGAGGACGATGCAAAAGTGGAACCCCCTGATAAAACCGTCAGATCTCATGAGACTTATTCACTACCAGGAGGACAGTATGGGGAACCGCCCCCATGATTCTAATTATCTCCCACCAGGTCCCTCCCACGACACAGGAGAATTATGGGAGGACAATTCAAGATGAGACTTGGGTGGGTACACACAGCCAAACCATATCATGCACTGTCTTTGTCTTTTAACTTTATTCATCACCTCTTTTGTCAGATCAAAGTTTCTACATTTAATACAATTGAATTTATCAGTAATTTCTTTTATGGTGTCTGTGTTTTGTGTCATATTAAAAAAAGTTTTTCTCTGCTTAGTGTCATAAAATCTGTCCTCTGTTTTCTTCTAAAAATTGGAAATCTGCTTTTCACATTTTGTTTTATTTCCTTTGTTCTTTGATTCATAGGGATGTGAGGTAGAAATCTCTATTAGTTAACTCTTGCTTTGTAACAAGTAACCCCACACCTCAGACGCCTATGACCATAGGCCACTATTTCTCACTCATGAGCATGGGTTGCTTGGGAGGTTTCAGCTCGAACTGTGGTGGCTGAGCTGGATCTGCTCCAAGTGTCTCTGATCCTCCTGGGGTTGGGGCCTGCCAGGGTGCCTTCTTCTCATGGCAATGACAGGAGTGCAAAGAACAAAGGGAAATGTGAAGGTCTCTTATCTTACCACCCAGGCTCAGAATGGGCAGACTACCACTTTACCACATCCATTCACCAAAGTGGGTCACGTGGCCAAACCAGAAGTCAAGGGCGGGAAGTTTAATATGAATCCCATCTCCACGTGCTATGATTTCGTGGACTTTCAACTTCTTAAGGCTGAATTGTTTTATTCTCACCTCCCCAGACTGCAGAAAACACATTTTCTCTAGGACTCCTTGAGCCACAGGGCAGAATGATTTTAGTTGACAAGGACTAGATAGAACTCAAGGCTCCAGCCTCTGTGCAGTGGACAGGTGTCATTTGGCCACTGAGGCCAGTTCCTTCCCCTTGTCCCCATCTAGGGCCTCTGTTCTGCTCCAATCTCCCTGTCCTTCTGCCCAGACCTTCCAGGAATCAGCCTTTTAATAGTTCCTGTCTTCTTTCCCTCTCTTCACTTCTATTATGTGAGAGTTTCCATCCTTATTTGGTATAGGAGGACTGGACTGAGTCAACTCAGCCTGTCACATCCCCACTCTCAGCACCTGGGTACCCCTTAGTGTTCAGCATGAGTGGGGTCCCCCGGTGTCTCCCTCCACAGCACGTTCTGAAGGCCTGGGAGCTGGACTGACATTTGGGACACCAAAACCTTTGTTCCACTTCTGCCATGACAGCTTCATTTGTCCAGGCAAATCATGGCAGCTCTCAATGCCTCATTTTTTTATTCCTCACACAATGGAATGACATAACCCTCAGTGCTTACCTAAGGGAGGAGAAATGATTCCCCTGCCTTCTCCCCATTTCTGCATTTGCCAGAGCATCAGATTTTTGTGTCTGGCCAAGAATATAGGGAAGGAAGAGCAGGTAAGCTTTGGGCACAAAGAGGGCGTTTAGGGGTTTCACTTAAGGAAAGAAAGTCAGGGGGCAGAGAGGGGTGGTGGAGCATGATCTTGGGCCAATGGTGAGGAACTAATGAAGTGCAATGTACATGGGTTAGGTTGTGTAGCAGCCTGGGTCCCATCAAGAAATAGAAACCACATAGTGGGTCTAACAGGGAAGTGTAGTATAAAGGATTGCAACTATGATAAAAGAGTCACTGTAAGACTTAAAGCAACTCTGCCTGGTGCCCTAGTGCAGAGGGAGGTACCCAAGGAAGCACAGATTTGAAAGGTGTTCAGATATTATAAAATGTGGTTCAGCCACCACATGAGACGTTTGTGGATTTGGGCAGGCTGGAGCTAGTCAGCAGCTTTTGCACAAGCACTAGGCCACCCACTGGAATGCAGGTGAGGGAGTCGGCCGTGA
This sequence comes from Homo sapiens, assembly GCF_000001405.40. Taxonomy (NCBI): domain Eukaryota; kingdom Metazoa; phylum Chordata; class Mammalia; order Primates; family Hominidae; genus Homo; species Homo sapiens. The sequence goes on from NC_000020.11 coordinate 29,349,973, forward strand.
GCCGCTGGAGTGCAGGGGAGGGAGCCTGCTGTGAGCCGCTGGTGCAGGTGAGGTAGCCGGCCGTGAGCTGCTGGAATGCAGGGGAGGGAGCAGGCCGAGAGCCGCTGGAGTGCAGGTGAGGGAGCTGGCAGTGAGCCGCTGGTGCAGGGATGCATGGCGGGAGTCTGGCTGCCTTTGTAGGGCAGGAAGCCTCCAGAATGCGTGAGTCCCACAGGGTCTGGCAGGAGGAATGGCAGCTCTGTGCGGACCCGCTAGAATACAGGTCACTGTGTGCAGGTTAACACAAGGGGTACAAGAGGGGGTCTGGGAAACTTTTCAGGAACTTTCAGATCACATGGGCCCTGCTGCGTTTTGGTTTCCATGTCGAGATGTTGCAAGCCAAGGCTACAAGGTGGCTGAGGGACCACGCCTAAGTCTGTGGTTGGGGCTTGAACATGATCAAGGCCCAGCCAGAGAGCTCCTGCCCCCTGCAGTCTCTCCATCCTCTACCTAGATGCCTGCAGAATGTTCACTTCCAGAGGGTATATTGAACAGTGTTTCCCAGTTTATCACAGTGCACGTATTGAAAGGTGAACTAGGAGCTGGGAGGCAACAGACTGAAAACTGACACTGGAGACGCTGGCTCATAGCAACGAAGAGAAGCTGAAAAGGAGTGGGAAGGAACTAACTGTAATTTTACATCAATGATCTGCATCTTTGTTTCGATGGCTTGTGGCAACCAAAATGACTATTTTTTCTACCCTCCTAGTTCAGACATAGCCTGAGACTTTTTTTTTTTTTTTTTTTTTTGAGATGAAGTCTCACTCTGTCACTCAGGCTGGGGTGCAGTGGCTTGGTCTCGGCTCATTGCAATCTCTGCCTCTCGGGTCCAAGTGATTCTCCTGCCTCAGCTTCCAGAGTAGCTGGGGCTAACGGGCACCTGCCACCACGACCGGAAAATTTTCGTATTATTAGTAGAGATAGGGTTTCTCCATGTTGGTCAGACTGGTCTTGAACTCCAGACCTTGGGTGATCTGCCCGCCTCTGCCTCCCAAAATGCTGAGATTACAGATGTGAGCCACTGTGCCCGGCCGCCTGAGACATTTTGGGCAACATCTGTGACAGAAGAAATGTGCATCCTTTCCGGGCAGGGGATTTAAGAAGTGGCTCATGGCTGATTATGTTTTCTTTGCTCTGTTTCTGGAACTGTGGGAGCATCTTCTGGGATAAGGGTCTATCTGTTTGAGTCTCTGAATGACTACGACCACCAGAGCCCCCTTGTTGACCCGTAATGGATGTGAAATCAATTGAGAAGTCAAGGCAGGGTGCGGTGGCTCACGCCTGTAATCCCAGCACTTTGGGAGGCTGAGGCGGGCAGATCATGAGGTCAGGTAATCGAGACCATCCTGACTAACACAGTGAAACCCGGTCTCTACTAAAAATAAGAAAAATTAGCCAGGCGTGGTGGTAGGCGCCTATAGTCCCAGCTACTCAGGACGCTGAGGTAGGAGAATCTCTTGAACTCAGGAGGTGGAGGTTGCAGTGAGCTGAGATTGCACCACTGCACTCCAGCCTGGGTGACAGAGCAAGACTCCATCCACCGCACCCCATCCCCTGCAAAAAAGAAAAAAAGAAAAGAAGTCAACTTTGCTGTTGAACCCACTGAGGTTTGGGGGCTTTTTTGTTACATGACTCATTTCATCCTTGGCACAGCCCCTGAGAGAAGGGGCTTTATCCTCATTTAACAAATGAAGAATCAAGTCTCAGAGAGGTTAGCAGCATGAGCAAGCTCACACAGCGAGAGGTGGAGCTTGGATTTGAATCCAGGTCTGTCTAACCTCAAAGACTGAAGTGGGGATGAAAATAAGTTGTCATTGTTGTTTGCCTGTCACCCAGGTGATGTAACTCTTGTCTAGGCTTTTCCTACGGAGGCTTTGTGACATATCTCTGCACTGATCAGCCAGGTGATGGGACTCTTGTCTAGGCTCTTCTATCCTTGGATTGTAACCTTGCAGGATCTTGAACTCATATCCTTTCAGGGATCATAGAAGTGAACACATCAAAGCTGCCATGATAAAGTTGTGGAAAAGTGGGCAATATTGCCAAATGCAAAATATCTGGGCTACATTTTGTCTGAGATCACCATTTGAGATTCCTGGAAGTTAGGGAATATGGAGGCCAACTCCCGTAGGGATGTTGTATAAGACTCCAAGCCGTAAGTCAATGATCTCAACCCTGTGGATCAGCACTCTCCATGTAATGGGTCATCTTAACCCATTTTGTGCTGGTATAACAGAATACCATAGACTAGGGAATCCATAAAGAAAAGAAATTTATTTCTTAGAGTTCTGGAAGCTAGGAAGTCCAAGGATGAAGGGTCTACATCTGGTGAGGGCTTTCTTGCTGTGTCATCTCATGGCTGAAGTCAGCAGAGCAAGACTTTGAGAAAGAGAGAGAGCAAAAGAGGCTGAACTTGCTTTTAATACAAGCCCACTCCCAAGATAACTAACCCAACCCCAAGATAACTAACCTATTCTCGAGATAGTGACATTAATCCATGCATGGGGGCAGAATCTCATAACCCAATCAGTCTTATTAGGCCCCACCTCTCAACACTGTCACGTAGAGGATTAAGTTTCCAACACTTGAGCTCCGGCGGACACATGCAGACCATATATGGGGGATTGATGAGTATATCGGAGGGACCAGTCATGAATATTTTGGCTGAGAGTTGTGTTTTCGAGCTGAAGCCATGCTCCATCATGGCAGGGCACACATAGACCTTTGAATGCTCTGAGGAATGAATATTGAACAGTGTAACTCATGGCAGAAGGTGGAATATTTAAAAGGCAGAACTGCCTGGGTCAACTAAAAGAGTGAACAAACAGCCTGTAGCCTGTGGCTGGCTCCTCTTCTCTTCCCATCCCTACCTTTCACCTTTCTCTCTTTCTTTCTTTCCCTCCCTCTCTCCCTCTATCTCTCCCTTCCTTCCCTCCCTCCTTCCTTCATTTCTTCATTCCTTCCTTTCTTCCTTCCTTCCTCTACCTTCTTTCTCTCCCTCCCTGCTTCCTTGTTTATTTCCTTCTTTCTCTTTCCCTCTTTCTCTTCCTCCTTCCTTCCTTCTTTCTCTCTCATTTCCTTCTCTCTTTCTTTGTCTCTATCCATCTTTCTCTCCCTCCATCCTTCCTTCTCTCATTCTTTCCTTCCTTCCTTCTCTCTTTCCTTCTTTGTCCCCTTCCTTCCTTACTTTCTTCCTCCCTCCTTCCTGCCTTCCTTTCTTCTCTTTTTCTTTGACTGATTTGTTCTGAGCCCAAGCACCCTGTGGGGTACTAAGTGGTACCAAAATTGACTCAAGAATCAAGAAGAAATAGAAAACCTAAGAAGTACTATAACATGAAGAACATAAAATCTCTAGTAAAACAAAATCTTTCACAAAGGAAGGAATAGGCCCAGATGGTTGTATGAGCAAATTTTACACACTTTCAAAGAATGGATCATTCTAATTATGTCCCAAACAACTGGAGCTAGGAATATTAATGCTTGATTTTTCAAGAGATTCATTTCCTAAAATGTGTAGGTTTAAAGGTAGATTGACATGTGTTAGAAAACCTTAAATGTTGTGCAGTTCCTTGGAGTTTTAGCATTAAAAAAGAAAGGCCTTGCCTGCATTAACTTTGAATTTTGTAACAGTTACCAGTTAATAGAGATACTCTATGCATTTATACACACTCTGATTTTATAGGAATGGAGGCATATCAGACACACGGCTCTCCACCCAGGTTTTTTCCTTTGTAACATATCTTGGACATCATTTTTGAGCATCCTTTTAAAATTTATTTTTTTAAATAGCTGCCTAGTATTCTATCATATGAATAATCATAATTTCAATAAACAGTAAGTTGATAATCATTAATGTGATTGATAAACATTAAGGTGATTTCTATACTTTTGTTAATTAAAAAGGTGGTATAATATTTTCTGCCATTCATAAATAATTCCAGGCATCATGACTATGTCTGTAGGGTAAATTTCTGGAAATGAAATTGCTGAATCAGAGAGTATTTCCATTTATAATTTTGGTATATATTGTTTAATCACAATTGATATAGTTTGTACTAATTTATAAACCCAGTAACAATATGTGAGTACCACTTCAAACTCCACAACTTCACTGGCAGTACTTGAAGTGATGATGCATATTACCAGCCTCCCTTAAAGTAAAGTTCTATTAACTCTACAAAAATTTTATAAATGGCAGATGTTACATTTCCAGATAGCTTTGTGGTAACCAAAAAATAATTGATTTATTAGCAATTTGTATATCACATTGAGACAAAATATATTTGTGATAAATATCATTATTGTTACGTATTTAAAACATCTCATGTATTAAGAAATCATACTTTAGATGGGGCCAAACTGGCCGATTAGAAGCAGCTGTGGCCCGTGGCTCTCACAGAGAGCAATGAAAACTGCGAGTGAATTCTGCACCTTCAATTGAGGTATTCAGGTTCTTGCATTGAGACTGAATAGGCAGACAGCTCCACCCACAGAGAGTCAGGAAAAGCAAGTGGGTCAATGACCCACCCAGGTGTGGCACGGAGCTAGCCGAGCCCCCATTTGCAGGCAAGGGAGGCCATGAGTGATTGTGCGACTCTGCCCGGGAAACCATGCTTCTCTGATGGATCTTTGCAACCTGCAGATCAGGAGGTCCCCTCATGAGCTCAGCCACCACGGCCTTGGGTCTGAAGCACACAGCTGTGTGGAGTCTCAGCAGAGTGCCCACTGGCTTACTGGGGCATGCATGGAAACCCAACTTTGCCCCGAGAATTCCAGCAAAGCGGGAGATACATCTGTGCATTCCCCTAGGAAGGGGGCTGAATCCAGGAATCCAAGTGACATTATTCTGAGGCCCCACTCCCACAGCACCTCACAAGACCCATTGGCTTGGAATTCCAGCTGGCCAGTGGCAGCAGGCTGGAGACAGCCGGAGGTGGACTGAGTTCCTGGGGGAGAGGCAGCTGCTCTATCTGTGGTTTGAGTTGGCTGCTCTAGCCTGCTGGCACCAGGGACAAGGAGGAGTCCCCTATAACACAGTACAGCTGTTGTGCTGATCGTGGCCAGGCTGCTTCTTTAAGTGAGACCAAAATCCATCCCTCCTCACTGGACAGGGCCTCCCCATCAGAATTTTAGAAACTCCAGCCAGAGTTATATGGACAGAACTCTGATTTCTCCCTGGGATGAAGTCCCCAGGGAGAGGGGTAGCTGCTGTCTCCCCAGTTCAGCCAACTGAACCTTTCCAGCCCGCTGTCTCTGGAGAATCCTGGGGGTCAGAACAACACACCTGCTCTGCCAAAGGGCAGCCAGACTGTTTCTTTAAGCAGTCCCTGATCCTGTTCCTCCTGACTGGGTGAGACCTCCCAACAGGAGACTCAAGACACCCCCTACAGGAGCTTTCCAGATGACATCAAGTCAGTACCACCTTGGACTGGTGCTCCCAGAGGAAGGATCAGGTTGCCATCTTTAATGTTTTGCAGGCTTCACTGGTGATACCTCCAGGTGCAGGAGAGACTGAGGTGACTAGGGTCCAGAGTGGACCCCAAAAAACCACAGCAGCCCTAGCCCTAGGGAAGAGTGGTCTGAGTGTTAAAAACAAACAGAAAGCAACAACAACATCAACAAAAAGACCCCGCAAAAACTCTGTTCAAAGGTCAGCAACATCAAAGATCAAAGGTAGATAAGCCCACAAAGATGAGAAAGCATCAACACAAAAACGCTGAAAACTCAAAAAGGCAGAATGCCTCTTCTCCTCTAAATGACAACACCACCTCCCCAGCAAGGGCACAGAACAGATTCGAGGCTGAGATGGCTGAATTGACAAAACTAGGCTTTAGGAGGTGGGTAATAACAAACTTCTCTGAGCTGAAGGAGCATGTTCTAACTTAATGCAAGAAGCTAAAAATCATAAAAGAACACAGTAGCTGATAACCAGAATATTCAGTTTAGAGAGGAACATAACTGAAATGATGGATCTGAAAAACACAACATGAGAACTTCACAAGACAACTACAACTATCACTCACAGAATAGGCCAAGTTGAGGAAAGAATCTCAGAGCTTCAAAGCTATCTGTCTGATATAAGACAGGAAGAGAAGAATAGAGAAAGAAGAATAAAAAAGAAAGAACTACAAAACCTTCAAGAAATATGGGATTACGTAAAAAGACTGAACTTAAGACTGATAAGGGTACCTTGACCCACCATGATCAAGATGGCTTCAGCCCTGGGAATCAAGGTTGATTCAACGCAGGCAAATCTATAAATGTAATTCATCACCTAAACAGAACTAAACACAAAAACAACACGATTATCTCAATAGATGCAGAAAAGGCCTTCAATAAAATTCAACATCCCTTCATGTTAAAAACTCTCAATAAACTAGGTATTGAAAGATCACACCTCAAAATAATAAGAGCCATATATAACAAACTCACAGCCAATATCATACTGAGTGAGCAAAAGCTGGAAGCATTCCCCTTGAAAACTGGCACAAGAAAAGGATGGCCTCTCTCACCACTCCTATTCAATGTAGTACTGGAATTTCTGGCCAGGGCAATCAGGCAGGAAAAATAAATAACAGTATTTAAATAGGAAGAGATGAAGTCAAATTATCTTTGTTTGCAGATGACATGATCCTGTATCTAGAAAACCCCATCATCTCAGCCCAAGAGCTTCTTAAGCTGATAAACCACATCAACAGAATCTCAGGATACAAAATCAGTGTGCAAAAATTGCTAATATTCCTATGCACAAACAACAGGCAAGTAGAGAGCCAAATCGGGAATGAACTTCATTCACAATTGCTACTAAGAGAATGAAATACATAGGAATACAGCTAACAAGAGAAGTGAAGAACCTCTTCGAGGAGGACTACAAACCACTGCTCAGAGAAATCAGATAGGACACAAACAAATGGAGAAGCATTCCATGCTCATGGATAGGGAAGAATTCATTCCTGAAAATGTCCATACTGCCCAAAGTAATTTATAAAGGAATTCAATACTATTCCCATTAAACTACCAATGACATTCTTCACAGAATTAGAAGAAACTATTTTAAAATTCTCATGAACCAGAAATGAACCCAAATAGCCAAGGCAACTCTAAGCAAAAAGAACAAAGCTGGAGGTATGACACTACCCAACTTCAAACTACATTATAATGCTACAGTAACCAAAACAGCATGGTACTTGTACAAAAACTACCAATGAAACAGAATACAGAACTCTGAAATAAGACCATACACATACAACCATCTGATCTTTGACAAACCTGACAAACACAAGCAATGGGGAAGGGATTTTTTATTTAATAAATCATGTTGGGAAAACTGGCTAGCCATATGCAGAAACTGAAACTGGACATCTTCCTTATACCTTATACAAAAAATAACTCACGGTAGAATAAAGACTTAAACATAAGACCTAAAACCATAAAAACCATAGAAGAAAACTTAGGCAATACCATTCAGGACATAGGCATGGGCAAAGACTTTGCGACTAAAACACCAAAAGCAACAGCAACAAAAGCCCAAATTGACAAATGGGATCTAATTAAAGTAAAGAGCTTTTGCACAGCAAAATAAACTCTCATCAGAGTGAACAGACAACCTACAGATTGGGAGAAAATTTTTGCAATCTATCTGTCTGACAAAGGGTTAATATCCAGAATCTACAAAGAATTTAAACAAATTTACAAGAAAAAAAACAGCCGCACCAAAAAGTGGGCAAAGGAAACGAGCAGACACTTCTCTAAAGAAGACATTTATGCGGCCAACAAACATATGAAAAAAAGCTCATCATCACTGGTCATTAGATGAATGCAAATCAAAATCACAATGAGATACCATCTCACACCAGTTAGAATGGCGATTATTAAAAAGTCAGGAAACAGCAGATGCTGATGAGGCTGTGGAGAAATAGGAATGCTTTTACACTGTTGGTAGGAGTGTAAATTAGTTCAGTCATTGTGGAAGACAGTGTGAAAATTCCTCAAAGATATAGAACCAGAAATACCATTTGACCCAACAATCCCATTATAGGGTATATACCCAAAGCATTATAAATTATTATACTATAAAGACACATGAACTGTATGTTTATTTCAGGACTGTATGTTTATTTCAGCACTCTTCACAATAGCAAAGACTTGGAACCAACCCAAATGCTCATTAATGATAAACTGGATAAAGAAAATGTGGCACATATATACCATGGAATACTATGCATTTATGTCCTTTCCAGGGACACGGATGAAGCTGGAAACCATCATTCTCATCAAACTAACACAAGAAAAGAAAACCAGGCCAGGAGCACTGACTCATGCCTGTAGTCTCAGAACTTTGGGAGGCTGAGGTGGAGAGTTTGAGATCAGCCTGACCAACATGAAGAAACCCCGTCTCTACCAAAAATACAAACAATTAGCCAGGCATATTGTCACATACCTGTAACCCTAGCTGCTTGGGAGGCTGAGGTAGGAGAATCGCTTGAACCCAGGAGGCAGAAGTTGTGGTGAGCCAAGATCACGCCATTGCACTTCAACCTGGGCAACAAGAGTGAAACTTTGTCTCAAAAAAAAAAAAAAAAAAAAAAAAAGAGAGAGAGAGAAAGAAAAAGAAAAAAAAAAGGAAACCAAATACTGCATGTTCTCACTCATAAGTGGGAGCTGAACAATGAGGACACATGGACACAGGGAGGGGAACATCACACCCTAGGGCTTGTCATGGGGTGGGAGGCTAGGGGAGGAATAGCGTTAGGAGAAATACCTATGTAGATGACAGGTTGATGGGTGCATCAAACCACCATGGCACGTGTATAACTATGTAACAAACCTGCATGCTCTGCCCATGTATCACAGAACTTAAAGTACAACAAAGAAAACTTTACATAAATGCATAAAGTCTAGAACAGCTAATATATTATAATGAAATGTCAACTATAATCCCAGCTCAAAGAGAACACCATAAAATTATGAAGAGCTCTCCACAAATCTCTAAATTTGTGTCCTCATAAGATTACATTTCTATTTCTTCTTGAATAATTTCCTCATTTTAGCTATGATTTAATGATAGTAAGATGGTAATTATGAGGAGAAAATTCTCCCAACACTCCATTGAGAAAATTCTGCCTCATTTCACCACACACCTGAGTCTTAAGCAGTCACTTCTAATGTAGCTGAATAATAGATCCTCACCCAGTCGAGTCTATGAGTTGAATCCATGTATGTGAGATAAGGCCCCCAAGGAGAGGTAATAAGCTGGGAATGCCATCAGCTCATCTTTCTTCAGGCCTATATTTGTCATTGTCACTTGTAGAAGCAGGACAGCCCTGGCATTGGGGTTGGTAGTAACAGAGAGTATCAAAGGGAAAACTGACCTTTCCTAATTTTTGGAAAAAAGCAGATTGGAAACAGATGGGCTCCAACGTTTTCCATGTGTAAGGTCATTGTCCCAGGTAGCCTTGCTCAGGACATTTCTTGTCACCAAAACAGAAGTCAAACGATATTTCTACCTTCCAAGATAGAAGATATTGTCAGAGTTTCTCATGGATACCCACAAGTTCAAGAAACTTTCATGGCCTTATTTAACTGCTTAAGCATTTCAACTAAAAAATTATTTGTCTTTCAAATACACAGGAATCTGGAAAAATGTTAACCAGAAAAAGTTGGAATCTAAAGTAAAAAATGCATAAGGCCATAAAAAGTTTTTACATCTTTTAATTTATATGTCAACTGGGGAAAAAAAAAACATTCTCTGAAGTTTCCTTTTATACCATTAAAGACTTATTCTTTATTACCAGCAATACAGGGCGACTTATTCAGGTTGAATCTTGAAGATAAACTTTAACTTAATTTTAAGTTTTGGCTAATTTTTAAGCATTACTCAGTCACCTACCATGATTTCATCTCAGAAACCAAAATCTCAATTTCATTTAGACCTTTGAAATATTAAAACAGGTTAAATGCTTCAAAATAATATTCATGTAGAGACTTACATATGTGGACCAGGAATCTCCATGTATTACAAAGTTTATGAGAACATAACAAATGTTGATACACACATTTAATTCTGAAATAAAAACTTACAACAAATAAAACTAACAAATCAAGAAAATTTTGTAGGTTACACATTTTAAGTCTAAAAATATAGGTATGAAACACTCAAGGATGGATAAAAGAAGAAATCACAAGAGAAAGTAGAAAATATCTAGAGACAAATTAAACACATGAAATACCAAAAGTTAAGAGATACATCAAAAAAGGTACCACAAGGGAAAAATTTATAGCTATAAATGATTATAAAAAATAATATACCAAATCAACAACTTTACTCCTAAGGAACTAAAAACAGAGGGAAAAAGAGGGACTATTAAAGAGGGACAACTAAAAGCTAGCAAAATTAAAAAAAAGATAAAGATAGCAGTGGAAATAAGTGAAATAGAGAATAGAAAAACAATTTCAAAAATCAACAAAACCTAATTTTTTCTCTGAAAAAGATCAAAATTGACAAAATTTTATCTAGATTAAGAAAGAAAGGGAATATTCAAATTACTAAACTCAAAAATAAAATGGGTACATTACTAACAAATTTTTGGAGTAAAAAAGGGATGTAGAAGAGTACCATAAGGAACTATACACTAAAAAATTGAATAGCCTAAATAAAATGAACAAATTCCTAGAAACAAAAAACCTACTAAGACTGAATCAGAAAAGTTGAATAAACCTATTCAGCAAGGAGATTCAGCAGGAAGATTGCATCAGTAATCAAAAACCCAGCAACAAAGAAAAGCCTGGACCAGATGGCTTCACTGTTGAATTCTACCCAATGTTTAAAGCAGAATTAACACCACTTTTTCTCAAACTTTTTCAAAACGTTGAAGAGGAGTTATATTTTTCTAACTTACTCTATGAGGCCAGTATTACCCTGACACCAAGCCAGACAAAGGCACCATAAGTAAACTACAAACAAACATCCCTTATAAATGCTGATGCAAAAATCCTCAACAAAATACCTGCAACTCACACTTAGCAGTACATTAAAAGGATTATACACTATGAATGAGTATAATTGATTCCTGAAATAAAAGTATGTTCCAACACATGAAAATCAGCGTAATAGCACATTAACATAAAGAAAGAAAAATCCCTCATGTGATCATCTTAATCAAAGAAGAAAAAGCATTTGTCAAAATTTAACCCACATTCATGATAAAATATACTTAATAAACTATAAAAAGAAAGAAAACACCTTAACATAATGCTATACAAAAAAACAAAACAAAACAAAAACACACAGCTAACATGGTGAAAGACTGAAAGCTTTTACCCTAAGAGCAAAAACAAGGATGCCTGCTTTACTACTTCTATTTAATATAGTACTGAAAGTTCTAGTTGTTAAAACAATAAGGTGAGTAAAATAATTAAAGATATTCCAATTTTTTAAAAAGTAAAATTATCTATTTGCAGATGACATAACCTTATATATTAAAAATCTTTTAGTTTCTGTGAAATAAACTGTCAGATGTAATAAATAAAATTCAGCAAAGCTGCAGGATACAAAATCAATACACAAAAATCAATTGTATTTCTACAACAACAATAAACTCTCTGAAGAAGAAATCAAGACGATAGTATCATGTATGATAATATCAAAAGAATAAAATACTGAGAAACCCACTTAACCAAGGAAATGAAAAACCTGTACAGCAAAAACTAGAAACATGGCATGAAAGTATTAAAGATGACACAAATAAATGAAAAGACATCATGTGTTTATGGACTGGAAGACAAAATCTTGTCAGGGTGCCATTGTTATCTATAGTCATCTACAGATTAAATAAAATCACTGTAAAAATTCCAATATTTGAAAAAATAGAAAAACCTGTTCTAAAATTCAGATGAAATCTCAAAATACCCCAAGCAGCCAAATCAATCTTAAAAACTAACAAAGTTAGAGGACTAACACCTCCTGGTTTCAAACTTCAGTAGGCAAAACAATGCTGTACCAGCATAGAGACGGACACAAAGACCAATGCAATAGAAATAAAGAACCAAAAAATATGGTCATGATTTTTAACAAGGGCGTCAACACTGTTCAATTGGGAAAGGACGGTATTTTTTTAAATGGTGTTAAAAACGGATATTTACAT
>NC_000020.11:29362183-29412507 GCF_000001405.40 Homo sapiens
TATATATATATATATATATATATATATCCCAAATTAGCTTTTTGTCAGTCATGTATGTTGCAGATCTATTTCCCCAATCTGTTGACTTTTGACTTTGAAGCATTTTTCTCTCATACAAAATTTTAATTTTTATGGAGTCAAATACAACCTTGGCGCCGATCTGGTTCCCGCACTGCCCGGCCTGCGTGAGCACGATTTCCCTCATGGCCAAGGCGGGATTAGAGTGGCAGGAGAAACGCGAGAAGGAGGAGCAGATGCACAGCTACCCAGCCCGTCCTCCACCAACGCTGAAATAGCCCCGTGCCCACCTCCCTCAGCCTCAGATTCGGCTCCCAGAATAAGCAACAGCTTTACTTCCACACAGATGTACCCACCTGTGAATCCCTTAGGGTTGAACATCTGTTGGAGAGCTCAGGTGTCCTTGCTGTGGTCCTTTCCACGTTGGGGAAAGTTGGTCAGCTGGAGAACTTCCTCCCACATCTTTAGTAAGACTAAATCCCTAGCTGAGCTGAAACTGAATTTTCCTCCCATGTGGGAGGGGAAGACTTGATGAGTCTTTTCATCTATTAGGAGTTCTGTGGTTAGGAAAGGTCTTCCAAATGTTAACAGGATTTAATTATAAGTTTTACTTTGGAGCAGTTCAAACCCGCAGTAAGCTATGGGTGTTAGAGATAGTCAGGTGTATGATTTAGCTAGAGTCTTCTTTAGAGTAAGATTAGCCCTTTCATCTTTCCAGAGTACTGTGGTCTGCACACAGAGTGAAGGTAATATTGGATTCTTAAAGCTGAGGATAGGTGTTGAGATGCACCTGCTGTGAAAGACGGGTCATTGCCACTTTGCAGGCTTTTAGATTACCCAAACTGAGAAGTTATTTCTTCTGGTAAACATTTTTCAGATGGGGTGGTGAATGCCTCGATCTAACCAGCGAAGATATCAGTAAGCATTAGCAAATATTTGAATCTCCTGCAGAAAGGTATCTGAGTAAATTAGAGTTGCCAGTTCTCACCTGGATAGGTTCCTCAATTTTGGACAGGTTTACCTGGAGAAGGAGAAAATTGCTGGCCATTTCGGTCATGTCAGGCACAGAGCTCAGAGGCCTGAGTCACCTGTTTTTGTGTCTTGAAAAGATTTACCCCTATAAACAAATGAGACATTAACAGAAACCAATAATCCCTTCTAGGGTGAAAAGAATCATGAAAGTGCTGAATTATATTCCTATGATTGGTACTTGGCATTAGTAATTTATTACCATCATTCAGCCAGCCAGAGGGGCCCTGGACTGAAATGCAATCCCTGGCCCATTTTTGTTCTTCTTCAGAGTGTTCTGGCCCAGTTCTATGTATGCTGACCAGCACGCCCATAAGCTTCATTGGCCCTTTTAGTGCAGGGGCCTTGGCTGCGACATCTACAAGGGCATTTCCTTTTACATGGTCAGTCTCTCTTTTGATGTCCTCTGCAATTAATTATAGTCACTCTTGGCAGCAAAGCAGCATTCTAACAAGCTCAAAATCTGAATGATGTTGTATGGAAAAGCCCTTGGGGGTCAGGAGTTCCTACCCATTCCAAATTGCAACATAAGCATGAAGCACTAAAAAATCATACTTGGAATCAGTTTAAATGTTAACTTTTAAATCCTTTCCCAGCTGCAGGGGCTGAGTAGGTTCAATTAACTCAGCTTGTTGAGCTGAAGTAGAGGTCAGCAAGGCTCGTGCCTTGATTCTCTTGTGCTGACTACTAATAGCACACCTAGCCCTCCTGTTTTCCTGATGCATAAAACAACTTGCATCTGTTAACCACTCTTCCTTGGGATGGTCAAGGGGCTCATCTCTCTGAAGTCTGGCCTGCTAGAATCAATTCGTTTCATAACCTGTGACATGCTTCGGCTGTGTCCCAAGTCAAATCTTATCTTGAATTGTAGCTCTCATAATTCCTATATATCGTGGGAGGGATCCAGTGGGAGGTAATCTAATCGGGGGATGGGTCTTTCCCATGCTGTTCTCGTGACAGTGAATAAGCCTCATGAGATCTGATGGTTTATTTATTTATTTTTGAGACATAGTCTTGCTCTGTTGCTCAGGCTGGAGTGCATTGTTATGATCTTGGCTCACTGCAACATCTGACTCCTGGGTTCAAGTGATTCTCCTGTCTCAGCCTCCAGAGTAGCTAGGATTACAGGTGCCTACCACCATGCCTGTCTAATTTTTGTACTTTTAGTATAGACGGGGTTTCACCATGTTGGCCAGGGTGGCCTCGATCTCCTCACCTCAGGTCATCCACTGCCTTGGCCTCCCAAAGTGCTGGGATTACAGCTGATGGTTTTATAAAGGGAAGTTTCCCTACACAAGCCCTTTTGCCTGATGCCATGTAAGAGATGTGACTTTACTCCTCATTTGCCTTCTGCCATGAGTGTGAGGCCTCCCTGACCATGTGGAACTGTGAGTCAATTAAACCTCTTTCTTTATAAATTACCCAGCCTCAGATATGTCTTTATTAACAGCATGAGAACAGACTAATACAACCTGTATGCCAGAAAGGCTAGAAGCTCCTGTGGACTCTGGCCGATAAGTAGCTGGGTTTATGGTTTGGTAGGCTTTAAGGGTTGTCTGGAGTGTCTAGCAATAAGGCCTTATACTTTCATAAATGTTCTCCTATTATCCACTGCTGCCCTTTAGCTTCTAGGACCACCTTCCCTTGGTGTGGGGTCAAAAACCTATAGGTGCTGTTCTGATGTTAGTTTATTAGCTTTGCCTACTAGAAAAGTAGTATCAGCAATAGCTCTAAGACATCAAGGCCACGCTGAGGCCACCTGGTCTATCTGCTTAGAAAATTAGGCTACTGGCCTTGGAATGTCCCCGTTTTGGGACGAGATTACCCAAGGCCTATGCCTTGCTTTTTGGCCACATAAAGAAAAAATGGTTCATCCAACTTGGGGACTCCCATGGCTGCAGCAGACCCCAATTTCTCCTTGAGAGTATTGAAGTTTTGCTTGCAGTTCTCATTACATTCTAGGAGCTCTAAATCTTTCCCTTTAGTGTATCATATAAAGGCTTGGCTACATGCCCAAATCTGGGCACCCATAAGCAGCAGTACCCAGCCATCTCCTAAAAAAGCCCACAGTCATTTTTGGACTGGGACCCTTGGATGACTAAAATAACTTTTTTATCTTCTAGGGATGTTGATCAGTTCCAGAGGTTAAGATAGATTCCAAATATTTAAGTATTTGAGTCAAAATCTGAGCCCTGCATGGCGATGCCCTATATCTACAAGTTCCCAGGAAATTTACCAACTTAACAATATTATTATTTGAGTCTTCTTTAGTTGGGTTTAGTCTTCTTTAATTGGGCTAGCAATGAGCAAGTCACCTATATACTGAGTAATTGTGTCCCTTTCCAATTGTAGATTTCTTAAGTCCTTAGCTAGAGTATTTTCAAATAAGTTGGTCCTATCCCAGAACCCTTCAATGATGACTGTCCAGGTTAGTTTTGAGGCTGAATGCCTATCTGGATCAGCCCATTCAAAGGCAAACATATTATGAATCTGCATTAATATGCAGAAAAATACATCTTTCAGATTTTTTTTAGATTAGGATTTTTATTGAAAAAGTAATACATGCAATTCATACAGAAAGCTTCAGAGTACAAAAGGGTATAAAAAAGTCACTCTACTTCTGTGCATACAAACATATGTACATATATGCATCTTTCCTTATTAAAAAAAGGGCGTAAACCTGCACACCAATGTGAGTCTTTTAAAAATTTCAACAAATTAAGTTGGGTAATAATTTTATTTCCACACTCGTAGATGTTTTATTTTTTAATTCACTTAATATTATTTCAATATATGAATATGCACTAAATTTTTTATCCTTTTTTTAAATTTTATTATTATTATACTTTAAGTTTTAGGGTACATGTGCACAATGTGCAGGTTTGTTACATATGTATACATGTGCCATGTTGGTGTGCTGCGCCCATTAACTCATCATTTAACATTAGGTATATCTCCTAATGCTATCCCTCCCCCCTACCCCTACCCCACAACAGTCCCTGCAGTGTGATGTTCCCCTTCCTGTGTCCATGTGTTCTTATTGTTCAATTCCCACCTATGAGTGAGAACATGCGCTGTTTGGTTTTTTGTCCTTGCCATAGTTTCCTGAGAATGATGGTTTCCAGCTTCATCCATGTCCCTACAAAGGACATGAACTCATCATTTTTTATGGCTGCATAGTATTCCATGGTGTATATGTGCCACATTTTCTTCATCCAGTCTATCATTGTTGGACATTTGGGTTGGTTCCAAGTCTTTGTTATTGTGAATAGTGCCGCAATAAACATATGTTTGCATGTGTCTTTATGGCAGCATGATTTATAATCCTTTGGGTATATACCCAGTAATTGGATGGCTGGGTCAAATGGTATTTCTAGTTCTAGATCCCTAAGGAATCGCCACACTGACTTCCACAATGGTTGAACTAGTTTACAGTCCCACCAACAGTGTAAAAGTGTTCTTATTTCTCCACATCCTCTCCAGCACCTGTTGTTTCCTGACTTTTTAATGATCGCCATTCTAACTGGTGTGAGATGGTATCTCATTGTGGTTTTGATTTGCATTTCTCTGATGGCCAGTGATGATGAGCATTTTTTCATGTGTCTTTTGGCTGCATAAATGTCTTCTTTTGAGAAGTGTCTGTTCATATCCTTTGCCCACTTTTTGATGGGGTTGTTTATTTTTTTCTTGTAAATTTGTTTGAGTTCATTGTAGATTCTGGATATTAGCCCTTTGTCATATGAGTAGGTTGTAAAACCTTTCTCCCATTTTCTAGGTTGCCTGTTCACTCTGATGGTAGTTTCTTTTGCTGTGCAGAAGCTCTTTAGTTTAATCAGATCCCATTTGTCAATTTTGGCTTTTGTTGCCATTGCTTTTGGTGTTTTAGACATGAAGATCTTGCCTATGCCTATGTCCTGAATGGTATTGCCTAGGTTTTCCTCTAGGTTTTTTTATGGTTTTAGGTCTAACATGTAAGTCTTTAATTCATCTTGAATTAATTTTTGTATAAGGTGTAAGGAAGGGATCCAGTTTCAACTTTCTACATATGGCTAGCCAGTTTTCCCAGCACCATTTATTAAATAGGGAATCCTTTCCCCATTTTTTTTGTCAGGTTTGTCAAAGATCAGATGGTTGTAGATATGCAGCATTATTTCTGAGGGCTCTGTTCTGTTCCATTGATCTATATCTCTGTTTTGGTACCAGTACCATGCTGTTTTGGTTACTGTAGCCTTGTAGTATAGTTTGAAGTCGGGTAGAGTGATGCTTCCGGCTTTGTTCTTTTGGCTTAGGATTGCCTTGGTGATGCAGGCTCTTTTTTGGTTCCACATGAACTTTAAAGTAGTTTTTTCCAATTCTGTGAAGAAAGTCATTGGTAGCTTGATGGGGATGGCATTGAATCTATAAATTACCTTGGGCAGTATGGTCATTTTCACGATATTGATTCTTCCTACCCATGAGCATGGAATGTTCTTTCATTTGTTTGTATCTTCTTTTATTTCCTTGAGCAGTGGTTTGTAGCTTTCCTTGAAGAGGTCCTTCACATCCCTTGTAAGTTGGATTCCTAGGTATTTTATTCTCTTTGAAGCAACTGTGAATGGGAGTTCACTCATGATTTGGCTCTCTGTTTGTCCGTTATTGGTGTATAAGAATGCTTGTGATTTTTGTACAATTATTTTGTATCCTGAGACTTTGCTGAATTCGCTTATCAGCTTAAGGAGATTTTGGGCTAAGATGATGGGGTTTTCTAGAAATACAATCATGTCATCTGCAAACAGGGACAATTTGACTTCGTGTCTTCCTATTTGAATACCCTTTATTTCCTTCCCCTGCCTCATTGCCCTCGCCAGAAATTCCAACACTATGTTGAATAGGAGTGATGAGAGAGGGCATCCCTGTCTTGTGCCCGTTTTCAAAGGGAATGCTTCCAGTTTTTGTCCATTCAGTATGATAGTGGCTGTGGGTTTGTCATACATAGCTCTTATTATTTTGAGATAGGTCCCATTAATACCTAATTTATTGAGAGTTTTTAGCATGAAGAGTTGTTGAATTTTGTCAAAGGCCTTTTCTGCATCTGTTGAGATAATTGTATGGTTTTTGTCTTTGTTCTGTTTATATGCTGGATTACATTTATTGATTTGTGTATGTTGAACCAGACTTGCATCCCAGGGATGAAGCCCACTTGATCATGGTGGATAAGCTTTTCGATGTGCTGCTGGATTCGGTTTGCCAGTGTTTTATTGAGGACTTTTGCATCAATGTTCATCAAGGATATTGGTCTAAAATTCTCTTTTTTGGTTGTGTCTCTGCCAGGCTTTGGTATCAGGATGATGCTGGCCTCATAAAATGAGTTAGGGAGGATTCCCTCTTTTTCTATTGATTGGAATAGTTTCAGAAGGAATGGTACCAGCTCCTCCTTGTAACTCTGGCAGAATTTGGCTGTGAATCCATCTGGTCCTGGACTTTTTTTGGTTGGTAAGTTATTGATTATTGCCACAACTTCAGAGCCTGTTAGTGGTCTATTCAGAGATTCAACTTCTTCTTGGTTTAGTCTTGGGAGGTTGTATTTGTCAAGGAATTTATCCATTTCTTCTAGATTTTCTAGTTTATTTGCATAGAGGTGTTTGTAGTATTCTCTGATGGTAGTTTGTATTTTTGTGGGATCTGTGGTTATATCTCCTTTATCATTTTTTATTGCATCTATTTGATTCTTCTCTCTTTTCTTCTTTATTAGTCTTGCTAGCGGTCTATCAATTCTGTTGATCTTTTCAAAAAACCAGCTCCTGGATTCATTAATGTTTTGAAGGGTTTTTGGTGTCTCTATTTCCTTCAGTTCTGCTCTGATTTTACTTATCTCTTGCTTTCTGCTAGCTTTTGAATGTGTTTGCTCTTGCTTTTCTAGTTCTTTCAATTGTGATGTTAGGGTGTCAATTTTGGATCTTTCCTGCTTTCTCTTGTGGGCATTTAGTGCTATAAATTTTCCTCTACACACTGCTTTGAATGTGTCCTAGAGATTCTGGTATGTTGTGTCTTTGTTCTTGTTGGTTTCAAAGAACATTTTTATTTCTGCCTTCATTTCTTTATGTACCCAGTAGTCAATCAGGAGCAGGTTGTTCAGTTTCCATGTAGTTGAGTGGTTTTGAGTGAGTTTCTTAATCCTGAGTTCTGGTTTGATTGCACTGTGGTCTGAGACACAGTTTGCTATAATTTCTGTTCTTTTACATTTGCTGAGGAGTGCTTTACTTCCAACTATGTGGTCAATTTTGGAATAGGTGTGGTGTGGTGCTGAAAAAAATGTATATTCTGTTGATTTGGGTTGGAGAGTTCTGTAGATGTCTATTACGTCCACTTGGTGCAGAGCTGAGTTCAATTCCTGGGTATCCTTGTTAACTTTCTGTCTTGTTGATCTGTCTAGTGTTGACAGTGGGGTGTTAAAGTCCCCCATTATTATTGTGTGGGAGTCTAAGTCTCTTTATAGGTCACTCGGGACTTGCTTTATGTATCTGGGTGCTCCTGTATTGGGTGCATATATATTTAGGATAGTTAGCTCTTCTTGTTGAATTGATCCCTTTACCATTATGTAATGGCCTTCTTTGTCTCCTTTGATCTTTGTTGGTTTAAGTCTGTTTTATCAGAGACTAAGATTGCAACCCCTGCCTTTTTTTGTTTTCCATTTCCTTGGTAGATCTTCCTCCATCCCTTTATTTTGAGCCTATGTGTGTCTCTGCACGTGAGATGGGTTTCCTGAATACAGCACACTGATGGGTCTTGACTCTTTATCCATTTTGCCAGTCTGTGTCTTTTAATTGGAGCATTTAGCCTATTTACATTTAAAGTTAATATTGTTATGTGTGAATTTGTTCCTGTCATTATGATGTTAGCTGGTTATTTTGCTCGTTAGTTGATGCAGTTTCTTCGTAGCCTTGATGGTCTTTACAATTTGGCTTGTTTTTACAGTGGCTGGTACCAGTTGTGACTTTCCATGTTTAGTGCTTCCTTCAGGAGCTCTTTTAGGGCAGGTCTGGTGGTGACAAAATCTCTCAGCATTTGCTTGTCTGTGAAGTATTTTATTTCTCCTTCACTTATGAAGCTTTGTTTGGCTGGATATGAAATTCTGGGTTGAGAATTCTTTTCTTTAAAAATGGTGAATATTGGCCCCCACTGTCTTCTGGCTTGTAGAGTGTCTGCTGAGAGATCCGCTGTTAGTCTGATGGGCTTCCCTTTGTGGGTAACCTGATCTTTCTCTCTGGCTGCCCTTAACATTTTTTCCTTCATTTCAACTTTGGTGAATCTGACAATTATGTGTCTTGGAGTTGCTCTTCTCGTGGAGTATCTTTGTGGCATTCTCTGTATTTCCTGAATATGAATGTTGGCCTGCCTTGCTAGATTGTGGAAGTTCTCCTGGATAATATCCTGCAGCGTGTTTTCCAACTTGGTTCCATTCTCCTCGTCACTGTCAGGTACACCAATCAGACATAGATTTGGTCTTTTCACATAGTCCCATATTTCTTGGAGGCTTCGTTCATTTCTTTCTACTCTTTTTTCTCTAAACTTCCCTTCTCACTTCATTTCATTCATTTCATCTTCCGTCACTGATACCCTTTCTTCCAGTTGATCGCATCAGCTCCTGAGGCTTCTGCATTCTTCATGTAGTTCTCTAGCCTTGGCTTTCAGCTCCATCAGCTCCTTTAAGGACTTCTCTGCATTGGTTATTCTAGTTATCCATTCGTCTAATTTTTTTTCACAGTTTTTAACTTCTTTGCCATTGGTTTGAGTTTCCTCCTGTAGCTTGGAGTAGTTTGATCATCTTCAGCCTTCTTCTCTCAACTCGTCAAAGTCATTCTCCATCCAGCTTTGTTCTGTTGCTGGTGAGGAGCTGCATTCCTTTGGAGGACGAGAGGTGCTCTGCTTTTTAGAGTTCCCAGTTTTCCACTCTGTTTTTTCCCCATCTTTGTGGTTTTATCTACTTTTGGTCTTTGATGATGGTGACGTACAGATGGGTTTTTGGTGTGGATGTCCTTTCTGTTTGTTAGTTTTCCTTCTAACAGACAGGACTCTCAGCTGCAGGTCTGTTGGAGTTTGCTAGAGGTCCACTCCAGACCCTGTTTTCCTGGGTATCAGCAGCAGTGGCTGCAGAACAGCGGTGGCTGTAGAACAGCGAATATTGGTGAACCGCAAATGCTGCTGCCTGATCGTTCATCTGGAAGTTTTGTCTCAGAGGTGTACCCGGTCATGTGAGGTGTCAGTCTGCCCCAACTGGGGGGTGCCTCCCAGTTAGGCTGCTCAGGGGTCAGGGACCCACTTGAGGAGGCAGTCTGCCCATTCTCTGATCTCCAGCTGCATGGTGGGAGAACAAATACCCTCTTCAAAGCTGTCAGACAAGGACATTTAAGTCTGCAGATGTTACTGCTGTCTTTTTCTTTGTCTGTGCCCTGCCTCCAGAGGTGGAGCCTACAGAGGCAGGCAGGCCTCCTTGAGCTGTGGTGGGCTCCAGCCAGTTCAAGCTTCCTGGCTGCTTTGTTTACCTAATCAAGCCTGGGCAATTGCAGGCGCCCTTCTCCCAGCCTCCCTGCCACCTTACAGTTTGATCTCAGACTGCTGTGCTAGCAATCAGTGGACTCTGTGGGTGTAGGACTCTCTGATCCAGGTGCGGGATATAATCTCCTAGTGTGCCATTTTTTAAGCCCATTGGAAAAGCACAGTATTAGGGTGGGAGTGACCTGATTTTCCAGATGCCGTCTGTCACCCCTTTCTTTGACTAGGAAAGAGAACTCCCTGACCCCTTGCACTTCCCGAGTGAGGCAGTGCCTCACCTTGCTTCAGCTTGTGCATGGTGCACTGCACCCACTGTCCTGCACCCACTGTCTGGCACTCCCTAGTGAGATGAACCCATTACCTCAAATGGAAATGCAGAAATCACACATCTTCTGTGTCGCTCACGCTGGGAGCTGTAGGCCAGAACTGTTCCTATTCAGCTATCTTGGCTCCACCCCACCCTAGATTTAAGAATGTAAACCAGCTTGCATCCCCTGGGACTTGGTAAGTATTGAGGACAATGAGGTGTATGGAGACAACTGCATTTCTTAATGCTCTAAGGGTTCTGAAAAATCTGTACTTGCCATTAGGCTTTTTATCTGGTAACATGAGAGTATTGTAAGGGGACTCTTATGGCTTTAATAACTCATATGGCAAGAATTTGGCTATAAGGGGTTGAATTTCCCCTCATGCTTCTTTCCTTAATACGTATTGTCTCTTCTGAGGGCGAGGAGCACTAGGCTGAAGTTGGATTTGAATGGGGGAGGTGTTTAGTGCATTTCCCAGGCCCAAACCTCAAGATTTACTTGCGACAACACCTCAGGCGGTAAATGTGACAGCTCATTCTTAACTTCCCCTGAGGGGTCAGGAACAAAAGTAACACTTTCTATGCTTTATGATCTGTGAAGTTGACCATGACTTGGTCTCCTGAGTCAATAAACCTCTCCCCAGTAAGAGGTCAGGCATTCAGACACTACTAAAAACGCAGGCGAGAAACCCAGAGGCCCTGGAGGACAACTTAGAAGATATGATAAGCAGTGTTTTGGGGCTTCTCCATCATGAGAAGACAGGAGCCCATTGTATTGAATCAGGACAGAGTCATCTGCTCCCATACCTAATACGAAGTTAACACTCCTATCTGCCACTTCAAGAGTCACCTGAGTCTCCTCCATCTCTCGATAGCTAATAGTCTAATGGGAGCAGAGGTAGGAAGTATCAGGCCCTATCACTTTTGAGTCTGCTGGGCTCTGATGATGGCTCCCTTGGAAGCACAGTACATTTCCTTCAACAGTGTCTGACCTTCTTACAGAAGGCACATTGATTTGTATCCAAGGCACATTGGCTCAGAGGCATAGAGTGGGACTTTCACATTCTCACCTCCTCTGTGAGGGCCGGGGTTCAGGGGCTGCCTCTGAAGTGGTGGAGAGCACAAGGCTGCAGCTAGAATCTGGGCCTCTTGGGAGATTTGCTTTATTTTTTGTTTTCTCTGCCCTATTCCTGTGATGGAAAACTGCAAAATCCAAGTCTAAAATATGATCCATGGGAGTCTGGAAGCCTAAGGCTGCTTTTGGTGTCTTCCTGCAGATATCAGAAGCAGACTGGGCTGTAAAATATACTGCTAGCAATACCTGTCCCTTCTTGGGGTCAGGGTCAGTGTTAGTGTATTTCCTCAAAGTCTAAATTATCCACCTTTTTAATAAGGCTAGGTTTTCATCTTTTCCCTGAGTAATTTTCCAGACTTTATAAAAATTAAAAAGCTTTATCATACTTTTTTATATTCCTTCAAGGAGTCAAATGATCATAATTTTTTCTCTATATATCACACTTTATTCCTAATTCATTTGTCTTTTCTAGATTCTAGTTCTCTTTTGGGTCCTGGTCAGACACTGGTGTGCCTCCTATTTGATAGGTGTCACATCCCCCGTTGCAGGCTGCCACCCTATTAGCATGTACTCTAGCCACTCCCATAATGCACTGCTTTTCCACCATGCAGCAGGTAAACATAAATATATGCAAATTCTGACTGGTCAGATTATACATCAAGGTTAGCCTCTTAAATTTGTCTATGAATTTTCCCAGAACCTCTGAAAATTGTTTTAGTTTTTCCTTGCATATGGCTAATTCAGACATAGAAAAGGGTACATATACCTATATAGTGTCCTTATCATCTGTCACTTCCTAGAGAGGGCAAACATTCAACTTTGCCAGCTGATAAGAGGCCCCACTGCATGTTGTTCCAGTGAAGCTCGGGTGTTTCAAGAGTGGGGTATGTATGTAAGATAGGACTTGAAGGGCAGGGAGAAGAGGATGACCAAACTCTAGATAACCCTGGAAAACTAGAAGAAATTAATAACGTGTTGCACACCTCACCAGAACTGGAAGGAGTCTGTGTTCTTATGGAGTGCTTGGACTGGCAGGGGGAGTTCAGCCCCAGCCAAGAAAAGCCTGATATTAAGAGACACTTGCATTAAAAGGGTAATCCATTATGTGCCATCCCTATTTTGTCTTTTCCTCCATCAAACATACAGAAGCCCATTTTAATTTTTTATCCAAACCAAACATCAGAGAAGCCTGTATATAATGCATTTCCTCCCACTTAGTTTCTCTTCTATGAAACAAATTAAGCTGCAAAATAGGAGTCAGATCAAACAGGGGAAATGGGGAGGCTGTAACTTGTATATTGTAATGTATTAGTCCATTTTCACACTGCTGTGATAAAATGGACAAAAGTCTCTCAGGAAAAAAGTGACATGCTGGGTTTAGAATGTAGGGTCCAGCTGCCCTATACCAGCTCATCAAAGATGACCTTATGGTTAAGAAATGAGAGAAAACTGTTAAGAAAAAGTATCCTGTTCTCCATCTTGAGGTTAATTGTTTGCAGAGAGTTGTCATAAAAGAGGCTGTCACTAAACAGGCATATCTGATCTTATCATGTAGGGCTGTTAAATACCACATTTCAACTTCTAGTCATAATGATGGAGAGGTTACTGCTGATCTTTTCTGATAATTAAGGTACAAAAATACTAGGTTCCAATACATCTGTCTTTTTTCAGTGTCACTTTGACCAGTGGCAAATTAAACAAGCAATCAGATAAAAGTCAGAGGATAGTTGAGGGAAGTAAAAGCTAAATGGTTTGGGGCCTCTTTCCTGGGGCAGCCTCCAGGCTACTGCAAAACAGAGGCGGTGAGCAGAAAGGTGACAAGATGCAGAGCACTCAGGTGAGTGACAGAGAGCGCAAGGTGGACAGTCCAAAAAGAGAAAGTGGCAAACATCTTGTTTAGCCAAACCCATTCTTCTCAGTATTCCCCAGGGCCTCTAACCCTGTGAGCTTGGCCTCTAATCTGAGGATGATGCCCCTGGGCCTCTAACTTTTGGGGCTGAGTCTCTCACCCTAACATTATGCCTTAGGGTATCTCACTTAAATAATAGTGGATAATCGTTCTTGCCCACCTGAACGGCTTCACGACTCTAAAAGATGGCCCACTTGCCAGCTGATTGATTCTGTGTGGATTGCTTTCCTTGGAGTGGGGGTGTTGTCTTGGTGTCCCTTCATGGTATTGCTGAAAGATGTTGCTGGAAAAGAGGGTCCTGATACAAACCACAAAGTAGGATTTTTAGATCTTATGGAGAAAAAATTAGAGGTGAGTCAGAGAACAAAGTGAAAGAAGCAAGTTTATTAGAAATGACTCCATTACAGAGTTGGACATCCTCGGAAAACAAGGGCAGGAATGCATTGTCTTTTGTTAGTGTCTCTACTTATAAGTAACTATAAAGAGAAAGAGTTATAATTAAACTTGGAAGTTGCAGATGTACTCACTAAAGTCAAGGCTATTGGTTTTAACAATGACCATTAACCCATTGACCTAAGCTAACTCATTAATATTATCCTTACAAAAAAATGCTGCAATCCTAGGACTCTTATACATTTTTCAGGCTTGGTGGAAGATGTCTTGTACGGCCACAAATATTCTGCAGTTGTAATTTGTGGCCAGCTAAAAAAATGTGGCTATTTTCAGACCATGAGTATTAACCTTCTAGATGCCTTGTGAGTACCTAGCTACTCATATTAAGATAGAGTATTCTGGTCATGTTTGTTAAACCAGAAGGTTGGTAGCCATGAGTTCCTCTAACAGAGCAAGGTTACTCCTCAAGGAGAAAATGTATTTCTCAGGAATTTTCTGCATTTTGTTTGATGGAATTTGGTATGTTTACCAAAATGGCAGAAAACAGTGAAATTAGTCCTCAAAGATTTCTCAAGATTGGATATAAAGTAAACAAAATGATAGTTAATATGCAAGTTGATGCAGTTGATATTCAAAAGAAATTTTGTTTGAAACACAATGAGATTTTTATTTTTATTTATTTATTTATTTATTTATTTATTTATTTATTTATTATTATTATTCTGAGACAGAGTCTTGCTCTGTTGCCCAGGCTGGAGTGCAGTGCACCATCTTGGCTCACTGAAACCTCCACCTCCCGGGTTCAAGCAATTCTCCTGCCTCAGCCTCCCAAGTAGCTGCGATTACAGGTGTGCATCATGACACCCAGCTAATTTTTGTATCTTTAGTAGAGATTGGGTTTCACTCCGTTGGCTGGGTGGTCTCAAACCCCTGAAAACAAGCGATCTGCCCACTTTGGGATGAGCCACCGCTCCCAGCCACAATGAGGTTTTAAAATAATTCTGATTTCCTGCTGTTGAGCAGGGAGCTGAGCAAATTCAACAGATCATGGGCCTAAAGTAGGAGAAGACTGAGGACAAACACTAGAATGCATGTGATTAAATTAACTACAATTGAAACCAAATCAAATTTAATAAGGCTGTACCTCTGAGTTTCAAGATGTTTCCCCTTGTTTTGAAATGTGATGTTATTCAGTGGAAAAGAAAACTAGTGTTTTTCTCCAGAGTAAAGAACAGGGTTCCCTGCAGGGATTGATTGACTGAGAGCTATGGCTCAGGATTAAAAATCCTTCTTTTTTCCACTTATAAACTAAAAATAAATTTCTAAGCCCCTATTGACTAAATGAACCCCTCTTCTTGGATAAGGACACTCCAAAGTTAACCTGAAAGTCTAGTTCAAGCCATGGGTCACGCATGCCTCATTATACTCTCCTCCCTTTGCTTTTAATTTTAATTTCAATCTTTAATTTATTTTTGTAGGTACATAGTTGGTGTATATATTTATGGGGGTACATGACATACTTTGATACAGGCATGCAATGAGTAATACATAATAAAAAATTGGTGTATCCATCCCTCAAGCATTTATAGCTTGTGTTATAAACAATCCAATTATACTCTTTTAGTTTTTTTAATGTATAAATTATTTTTGACTATAATCACCCCGTTGTGCTATCAAATACTGTCTTATTCGTTCTTTCTAACAATTTTTTTTAACCGATTTAGCATCCCCACTATCCCCCTGTTCCCTCACTGCCCTTCCCAGCCTCTGGCAACCATCCTTATACTCTCCTATCTCTATGACACCTATTGTTTTGAATTTTAGCACCCACAAATAAGTGAGAACATGTCACATTTGTCTTTCTGTGCCTCACTTATTTCACTTAACATAAAGACTTTCAGTTCCATTTATGTTATTGAAAATGACAGGCTCTCATTCTTTCTTATAGCTGAATAGTACTCCATTGTGTATATGTACCACATTTTCTCTATCCAGTCATCTGTTGATGGACATTTAGGTTCCTTCCAAATCTTGGCTATTATAAACCATGCTGCAGCAAACATGAGAGTGCCAATATGTCTTTGATTTACCAATTTTATTTATTTTAGGCATATACTGAGAAGTGGGATTGCTAGACCATATAGTAGCTCTATTTATAGTTGTATCAGGAACATCCAAACTCTTCTTAACTGTGCTCCCAACAACAGTGTACAAGGGTTCCCTTCACTCCACATGCTCACCAGCATTTGTTTTTGACTGACTTCTGTATAAAAACAACCTTAACTGGGGTGAAATGATATCTCATTTTGGGTTTGATTTGCATTTCTATGATGATCAGTAATGTGGAGCACCTTTTCATTTGCCTGTTTGATATTTGAATGTCTTCTTTTCATAAATGTTTATTTAAATTTTTTGTCCACTCTTTAATTGGATTATTACATTTTTTCTATATAACATTTTGAACTCAATATATTGTAGTGTATTAGTCTGTTTCTGCACTGCTTTAAAAAAAATACCCGAGACTGGGTTATCTATTTATTTATTGAGATGAAGTCTTGATCTGTTGCCCAGGCTGGAGTACAGTGGCACATTCTCGGCTCACTGCAACCTCCGCCTCCTGGTTCAAGCAATTCTCTGCCTCAGCCTCCTGAGTAGCTGGGATTACAGGCACCTGCCAGCACACCCAGCTAATTTTTTGCCACCATGCCTGGCCAATTTTTGTATTTTTAGTACAGACGGGGTTTCACCATCTTGGCCAGGCTGGTCTTGAACTCCTGACCTCGTGATCCACCTGCTCGGCCTCCCAAAATGGTGAGATTACAGGTGTGAACCACCGCACCTGGCAAGACTGAATAATTTATAAAGGAAACAGGTTTAATTAACTCACAGTTCCAAATGGCTGGGGAGGCCTCAGGAAACTCACAATCATGGCAGATGGGGAAGCAGGCACCTCTTATATGACAGCAGGCGAGAGCATGTATGTGAAGCAAAGGGGGAAGGGTCCCTTAGAAAACCATCAGATCTCATGAGAACTCACTCATTATCAGGACAGCATGGGGGAAACCACCCCGATGATCCAATCGCCTTCTACCAGGTCTCTCCCTCAACATCTGGGGATTACAATTCAACATGAGATTTGGGTGGGGACACAAACCTAATCATATCAGGTAGCTATTAATTGCTTTTCAGATGGATAATTTGCAAATATTTTCTCCCATTCTGTGGATTTTCTCTTCACTTGTTTATTGTTTCCTTCACTTTAAAAAGGCTTTCTGACTTGCTTTAATCCCATCTGTCCACGTTTGTTTTGGTTGTCTGTGCTTATGAGGCATTATTTAAGAAATTTTTGCCCAAACCAAATGCCCTAAAGAGTTTCCCCAATGTTTTCTTGTAAAAATTTGATAGTTTGAGGTGTTAGGTTTAAGTCTTTATTTCATTTTAATTTGATTTTTGTATGTGGCAAGAAATAGGGTTCTAGTTTTATTCTTCTGCCTATGGCTTGCCAGTTTTCCCAGCCCTATTTATTACAAAACCTGTCTTATTTTTATTGTATGTTCTTGGCACTTTTGTTGAAAATAAGTTTAGTTTAGCTGTATGAGTTTGTTTCTAAGGTCTCTATTTCATTCCATTTTTCTTTATGTCTGTTTTTATGCTAGTGTCATGCTGTTTTAATTACTATAAGTTAGTAGTATAATTTAAAACCAGGTAATGGAATTCCTCAAGTTTTATTTTATATACTCAGCATAGCTTTGACTATTATGATGTTTTGTGATGGTTCCATACACATTTCAGAATTTTTTTTTCTCTTTCTGTGAGGAATGTCGTTTTATTTTTTAGATGGTGTCTCACTCTGTCACCTAGACTGGAGTGCAGTGATGTGACCTTGGCTCACTGCAACCTCTGCCTCCTGGGTTCAAGCAATTCTCTGCCTCAGCCTCCTGAGTAGCTGGGATTACAGTCACCCGCCACCACACCCAGCTAATTTTTTTGTATTTTTAGTAGAGACGGAGTTTCACCAAGTTGACCAAGATGGTCTTGAACTCCTGACCTCATGATCCACCCATCTCGGCCTCCCAAAGTGCTGGGATTACAGGCATGAGCCACTGTCCCTGGCTGGTTATTTTGATAGAGATGGCATGAAATGTATAGATTGCTTTGGATTGTATGGACATTTTAAAAAATACTGATTCCTCCAATCTGTGAACATAAAAATATCTTTCCAATTTTGGGGTCCTCTTTCATTTCTTTTATCAGTGTTTTTCAGTTTCAGTTGTTGAGAACTTTTATTTCTTTGGTAAATTCCCACACATTTTGTTTCATTTGTGGCTACTGCAAATAGTATTACATTTTTGAATTCTTTTTCAGTTTGTTGACTCTTGGCATATAGAAATCCTACTGATTTGTATATGTTGATTTTGTATTCTGCAAATTTACTCAAGTTATTACTGCTAATAGTTTTTTGGTGGATGTATTAGGCCATTCTCACATTGCTATAAAAAATAATCAGTGACTGGTTAATTTATAAAGAAAATAGGTTTAATTGGCTTATGGTTCTACAGAGTTTACAGAAAGCATAGCACTGGCTTCCGCTTCTGGGGAAGCCTCTGACAACTGACAAGGTGAAAAATAAATCCAGTGCTTGCACATCACATGGTAAGTGTGAGGGCAGGGAGGATGATGTTCTACACACACTTGTAGATAACCAGCTCTCATGAAAGCTAACTGTTGTTGGAATGGCACCAAAGGAAATGATGCCAAACTGTTCATGGAAATCCTGCTGTCATGATTCAATCACCTCCCCACTAGGCCCACTTCCAACATTGAGGATTACATTTCAGTATAAGATTTTGTGGGAACTCACACCCAAACTATATCATTTTGCCCCTGGCCATTGCAAATCTCATATCCTTCTCATATTTCAAAATACAATCATGACTTCCCAATAATCCCCAAAGTCTTAACTCATTTCAGCCTTAACTCAAAAGTCAAAAGTCTCATCTAAGACAAAGCTAGTTTCTTCCTCCTACAAACCTGTAAAATAGAAAACAAGTTAGGTACTTCCAAGATACAAATGGGGCAGAGGCATTGGGTAAATAATCCTATTCTAAAAGGAAGAAATCAGTCAAAAGAAATGGACCACAGGACCCATGAAAGTCTGAAACCCAGAAGGGCAGTTATTGAATTGTAAGGCTCCAAAATAATAATTTTTGACTCTGTGTCCCACTTTCAGGGCACACTGATGCTTTGGGAAGGGTCTACCTTGTGCCTTTGCATGGTTCAGCCCCCAAAGCTGCTCTCATGGGCCGGCATTGTGTACCTCTGACTGGTATTGTGTGCCTCTGGCTTTTCTAGGTGCAAGGTGCAAGCTGTAGCTAGATCTACCATTATGGGGTCTGGAGAACATTGATCTTCTCCTCACAGATCTCCTAGGCCATGCCCCAGTGGGGAGCCTGCCTGGGGACTGTCACCCCACATTTCTTTTCTCAATTATTTTTGTAGAGGTTCTCCATGAGGGCTCCACCCCTGCAGAATGCTTCTTCCTGCACACCCTGGCTTTTTCATACATCCTTTGAAATAAATGTGGAGGTTCCCAAGTCTTAACTCTTGCATTTTGTATACCCACAGGCCTAACACCAAATGGAAGCTACCAAGGCTATGGCTTGCTCCCCCTGAAGCAGTGACTGGAGTTGTAACTAAGTCAATTTGACCTACACCTGGAGCTGAAGCAGTGACCAGGATGCAGGGAGCCATGTTCCAAATCTACCCAAGGCAGCAGGTCCTGGGCCTGATCCCAGAAACTGTTCTCTTCTTTTAGGCCTCAGGGCCCATGATGGTGGGCTGCCTTTCATATTTCTAAAATTCCTTCAATTCCTCTTTCCCATTGTCTTGGCTATCAACACTTGCTTTTTTTTTTTTAGGTTATACAAATATCTCTAACAAGTAGTTGCTCCATAGCCTGCTTGAGTTCTTCTCTTATAAAAGCTTTTTTATTTTTCAGCCACATGACTAGGCTGCAAAGTTTTCAAGCTTTTACACTATGCTTCCCTTGTAAGTTTAAGTTACAACCTTTTTTTTTTTTTTTTTTTTTTTTTTTTTTTTGCTAGAACATGTAAGCATAGGTTGTTAGAAGCAGCCAGGCCACATCTCAAATGCTTTGCTGTTTAGACATTTTTCCAACAGAAACCATAAATTGTTGCAGGAAGTCAGGGACCCCAAATGGAGGAACCGGCTGAAGCTGTGACAGAAGAACATGGATTATGAAGATTTTATGAACATTTATTAGTTTCCCAAATTAATACTTTTGTAATTTCTTATGCCTGTCTTTACTGCAATCTGTAAACATAAATTGTAAAGATTTCATGGACACTTTTCGCTTCCCCAATCAATACCCTTGTGATTTCCTATGCCTGTCTTTACTTTAATCTCTTAATCCTGTCAGCCGAGAAGGATGTGTATCATCTCAGGACCCTGTAATAATTGCGTTAAGTACACAAATTGTACAGCATGTGTGTTTGACCGATATGAAATGTGGGCACCCTGAAAAAAGAACAGGATAAGAGCAATTGTTCAGGGAATAAGACAGATAACCTTAAACTCTGACTGCTGGTGAGCCGGGCAGAACAGAGCCATATTTCTCTTCTTTCAAAAGCAAATGGGAAAAATATCACTGAATTCTTTTTCTCAGCATGGAACTTCCCTGAGAAAGAGAATGCGCACCTAGGGGTAGGTCTCTGAGCTGGCCCCCCCGGGGCATACCTGTCTCTTATGGTCGATATTGCAGAGATGAAATAAACTCCAGCCTCCCATAGCACTCCCAGGCTTATTAGGAAGAGGAAATTCCTACCTAATAAATTTTGGTCAGATCTCAAAACCCTGTCTCCTGATAAGATGTTATCAACGACAATGGTGCCAGAAACTTCATTAGCAATTTTAATTTCACCTCCATTCTGTGGTCCTGTGATCTCGCCCTGCCTCCACTTGCCTTGTGATATTCTATTACCCTGTTAAGTACTTGATGTCTGTCACCCACACCTATTCGTATACTCCCTCCCCTTTTGAAACTCCCTAAAAAAACTTGCTTGTTTTTGTGGCTTGTGGGGAATCACGGATCCTACCAACCTGTGATGTCTCCCCTGGATGCCCAGCTTTAAAATTTCTCTCTTTTGTACTCTGTCCCCTTATTTCTCAAGCCAGCCAATGCTTAGGAAAATAGAAAAGAACCTACGTGATTGTCGGGGCAGGTCCCCCAATAATAAATCATTAATTTCAAATTCAAACTTTTATATATCCCTAGGGCATGACAGAAATTCAGCCAACCACTTTGCTAAGACAACATGTGTGACCTTTGTTTCAGGCCTAATTAGTTTCTAATTTTCATCTGAGACCTCTTCAGCCCAGCCTTCACTGTCCAGATCACTATCAGCATTTTGGTCTCAGCCATTCAACCAGTCTCTAAGAAAATCTCAACTTTCCCTCATTTTTCTGTCTTCTTCTGAATCCTACAAACTCTTCCAACCTCTGCCTGTTTACCCAATTACAAAGCTGATTCCACATTTTCAGGTATTCTTATAAGAAGTTTCCACTCCTTGGTGCCAATTTTATGTATTAAGCTATTTTTGCATCACTCTAAGAGTGGGACTGGATAATTTATTTTTAAAAAAGGAGGTTTAAGTGGCTCCTGGTTCTACAGGCTGTAGAGAAGACATAGCACTGGCATATGCTCCTGGGGTGGGCTGTGGAAATTTACAGTCATGGCAGAAGTTGAAGCAGAATCTTACACATCACACAGCAAAAAGCAGGAGTGAAAAACAGAGGTGCAAGTTGTTACACACTTTTAAATAACCAGATCTTATAGGAACTCACTTACTATTATGAGGATAGTACCAAATGGGATGGTGCTAAGCCATTTATGAGTAATCCACCCCAATGATTAAATCACCTTTCACCAGGCCCACCTCCAACATTGAGAATAACATTTAAATATGAGATTTGGGAGGGGACACACATTCAAACCCTATCAGAGGAGTCTTTTTTTTTTTTTGCCAATATGAGATTATATCATTGGCAAAAAAAGATAATTTGACTTCTTTTCCAATTGGGATGCCTTTTATTGCTTTCTCTTGTCTGATTGCTCCAGATAGGAATTTCAGAATTATGTTGAATAACAGTGGTAAAAGTGGACATTCTTGTCATCTTCCAGATTTTAGATGAAAGGATTTTAGTTTTTCCCCACTTAGTATGATACTAGCTGTGAATCTGTCATATATGAATTTTATCATGTTGAGGTATGTTCATTCCATACCCAGTTTTCAAAGAGTTTTTTATTATTAAAGAATATTAAATTTTATCAAATATTTTTTAGTATAATTGAAATGATTATATGGATTTTGTCCTTGGTTTTTTTTTTTGTTTTTTTGTTTTTTTGTTTTTTTGAAATGACATCTCCCTCTGTCACCCAGGCTGGAGTGCGATGGCATGATCTCAGCCCACTGCAACCTCTGTCTCCTGGGTTCAAGTGATTCTCTTGCTTCAGCCTCCCGAGTAGCTGGGATTACAGGCACCCACAACCGTGCCTGGTTAATTTTTGTATTTTTAGTAGAGACAGGGTTTCGCCATGTTGGCCATACTGGTTTAGAACTCCTGAACTCAGGTGATCTGCCCACCTCGGCTTCCCAAAGTGCTGGGATTACAGGCGTGAACCACTGTGCCTGGCCCCTTCATTCTGTTTATGTGATGTATCACATTGATTGATTTGCATGTCGAACCATCCTTGCATCCCTGGGATAAATTCCACTTGGTCATTATGAATTACCTGTTTATGTGTTGTTTAATTCAGTTTGCTAGGTTTTTTGCAAATTTTTGCACCAATATTCTCAGATATGGGCCTGTAGTTTGCTTTTTTAATGGGTCTTTGTCTGGTTTTGATATCAGGGTAATACTAGCCTCAAAGAATGAGTTTGGAAATGTTCTTTCCTTTTCTATTTTTCAGTCTGGTCTTACAGACTTTTTTATTAAGACTTTAATTTTGTAAATTGTTATTGGTCTGTTCAGGTTTTAGATTTTTTCCTAGTTCAATCTTGGTAAGTTGTGTTTGTCTAAGAATTAATTGTCTGTAGGTTTTCTAATTTGTTGGCACACAATTGCTGATAGTAACCACTAATAATCCTTGATTTTCTGAAGCATTACTTGTAAGGTCTCCTTTTTCACCTCTGATTTTACTAATTTTTATCTTCTCTGTTTTTTAGTTAGCCTGTCTAAATATTGTCAATTGTTTTACTTTTCAAAAAATCAACTTTTTGTTTATTAGTCTTTTGCATTGTTTTCTTCATTTTAACTTTATTTACTTCTGCTGTAATCTTTATTATTTCTTTTCTTCTA
Organism: Homo sapiens; assembly: GCF_000001405.40. Lineage (NCBI taxonomy): Eukaryota > Metazoa > Chordata > Mammalia > Primates > Hominidae > Homo > Homo sapiens. Next base: position 29,384,825 of record NC_000020.11, read on the forward strand.
ATTTTGGATTTGGCTTGGCCTTTTTATTCTAGTTAATTAAGATGTGTTGTTAGGTTATTTATTTGAAGCTTTTCTGTTTTTTATGTCGGCACTTACAGTTATAAATTTTCCTTTTATAATAGTACCTCTTTTACTATATTCCATAGGTTTTGCTATGCTATGTTTCCATTATCATTTGTTTCAAGAAATTTTTCTGTTTTCTTCTTAACTTTTTTATCGACCTACTAATCATTCAGGAGCATATTGTTTAATGTCCTTGTGTTTGTATAGTTTCTGAAATTCCTTTTTTAATTGATTTATAGTTTTATTCCCTGTAGTCAGAGAAAATGCTCGATATTACTTCAATTTTTTGGAATGTCTTTAGACTTGTTAGTTAACATATATATAGTCTATCCTTGAGAATAACCCATGTGCTGAGGAGAACAATGTATATTCTGCAGCTGTTGGATGAAATTTTCTGTAAATATCTATTAAGTTCATTTGTTCTGTAGTGCAAATTAAGTCTGATGTTTCTTTGTTGATTTTCTGTTTGGAAGGTCTATCCAATAACTAAAGTAGGGTGTTGAAGTGTCCAGCCATTATTGCATTGAGGTCTCTTTCTTTAGCTCTTATAATATTTGGTTTATTTATCTAGGTGCTTTAGTGTTGGGTGTATATATGTGCTCAATTATTATATTCTCTTGATGAATTGATCTCTTTATTATTATATAATGACCTTTTTAATCTCTTCCTACAGTCTTTTGTTGAAATCTATTTTTATCTGGTATAAGTACAGCTATTTCTTCTCTTTTTTGGTTTCTATTGGCATGGAATAACTTTTTCCATCCTTTTATTTTCAGTCTAAATGTATCTTTATAGTTAAAGTATGTTTTTGGTAGGTCACAGATTATTGTCCTGCTTCTCTATACATTCATCCACTATTTTTCTTTTGACTGGAGTATTTAGTTCATTTACATTCAATGTTATTATTGATAAGCACTTACTCCTGCCATTTTGTTATTTGTTTTCTGATTGATTTTTGTCCTCTCTTCCTTCTTTCCTTTCTTCCTGTCTTCCTTTTAGTGAAGGTGATTTCTCTTGTATTATAATCTAATTTCTTGTTTTTTACTTTTTGTACGTCTGTGGTACACTTTTTGATTTGAAATTACCATGAGGCTTGAAAATAATATAATACATGATTTTAGACTGTGGACAATTTAACACGGATTGCATCAACAAAGAAACAAGCAAAACAACTAATACAAACTCTATACTTTATTGCCATTCTTTTAACCTTTTTGTTGTTTCTCTTCATTCCCTATTTTACTGTCTATGTCTTCGAAATATGTTGTAGTTATTATTTTCATTGGTTTATTGTTTACTCTTTCTATTTGAGATTTTTGCACCCCATAATTACCATGTTATAATATTCAGTGTTTTTCCATGTGCTATTGCTAGTGCGTTCTGTACCTTCAGATGATTTATTATTGCTCACTAACTTCTTTTCTTTTAGGTCTAGAAATCCCTTTAGCATTTCCTGTAGTACAGGTCTGGTGTTAATGAAATCCCTCAGTTTTTGTTTGTCGGGAAAAGTTCTATTTCTCCATCAAGTTTAAAGGAAGTATTTGCCAGATACATTATTCTAAAGTAAAAGTCTTTCTTTTTCAGCTTTTTTAATATGTCACGCCAGTCTCCCAGCTTGTAAATTTTCCCCTGAAAAGTCTGCTGTCAGATGTATTGGAGTTCCATTGAATGTTATTTGTTTCTCTTCTCTGGATGCTTTTAGAATCATTTCTTCATCCTTAACCTTTGGAAGTTCAGTTAAGTGCCTTGAGGTGGTATTCTTTGGGTTAAATCTGCTTTATGTTTTGTAACTTTCTGTTACTCAAATGTTGATATCTAATGTTGATATCAAATGTTGAATTGTTTAATATTATTTAATATTATTTATTTAAATAAATGTTCAACTCATCTCTTTTTCTACCTCTTCTTTAAGGCCAATAACTCTTAGATTTGCTATTTTGAGGCTATTTTTTAGATTCTGTAGGCATGCTTTATTTTTTATTCTTTTTTGTCTCCTCTGACTTTGTATTTTTAAATAGTCTGACTTCAAGTTCACTAAACCTATCTTCTCCTTGATCAATTATTTTAAGTAATTCTGATCCATTCTTCAGTATGACAATATCATTTTAACTTCCGAATTTCTGCTTTATTCTTTTTATTTCAATCTCATTGTTAAATTTATCTGATAGAATTTTGAATTCCTTCCCTGTGTTATATCGTATTTCTTTGAATTACCTCAACCAGCTATTTTGCACTTCCTGTATGAAATGTCACATACCTCTCTTTTTCCAGGATTTGTCCCTGGTGCTTTTTTTAGCTTCTTTGGTGAGGTCATGTTTTCCTGGATGTCCTTGATACTTGTAGATGTTCATCTATATCTGGGCAGTGAAGAATTCAGTCTTTATCGTAGTCTTCACAGTCTGGGCTTGTTTGTGCCCATTATCTTTGGGAACACTTTCCAGGTATTCAAAGAAACTTGGGTCCCAAACCGGCAGTCTCTCTTTCTGTGCTGAGACATATGGAGCTGGGGTTGGGGTAACATAAGCACCCCTGGGGCCACCACCACTGAGACTGTGCTGGTTCACACCTGAAGTAGGCACAGAACTTGGTCTCACCCACGGCCCACTGTAACCACTACTTGGCTACCATATAAGATTATTCAAAGCCCTAGGACTCTGTGATTAATAGGAGGCAAAGCCAGCCAGGTTTGTGTCTCATAGAATCTTCAAAATTTACCTGCTCTTCTATTTTACTGTAGCTAACCTGGCACTTAGGGAATAAGACAAAGTATTTTCTACTCTTCCTTCCCCTGTCTGCAGTCAGAAGAGCCTCTTCTATGACTGTCAACGCTACTGGCCCATGGGAGGGTTCCACAAAATCATCATCACTTTCTCACTTAAAGCCCAAGGACTCTTTAGTTAGCTTGTGATAAATTCTGCAATGCCTGGGACTGGACCTTTGGCCCAGGGCAAGTGCAGAAATGCTGACCAATACCCTAGTCCTGGAGTCAGGGACTCTAAGAATCTGCTTGTTGCTCTACCCCACTGTGGTTGAGCTGGTATATCAGGCGCAATACAGAGTTCCCTTTACTTTCCCCCCTGCTTTTCTCAAACAGAAGAAGTCTTTAACCATAGCTACCACAGCTAGAAATGCACTGGGTCTCACCTGAAGTTAGCACTTCTCAGAGCCCAATGCCCATGGTGTATTACCTGGTTGTCACTGTTTTTTATTCTGGGTACAGGGGTTCTTTAGTCAGCAGGTGATGAATTCTGCCAGGTCTTTACTGACATGGCAGCACTGAGTTTAATGTAAAGTCCTCTAGTCCCCCAAATTCACAGGTTTCTCTGTGTTGTGTGGTTGCTGCTGGGTGGGGGGTGGGGGAGTGGTGTTGTGAGCACTCCCTTAGCTACTTCAGCTGCTGTCTCAGTAGACCCCATACTCCCCACCCTCCACATTCTACTGGCTCTGAGCCCAGCTAGGAGTATGACTTGCCTAATAATTGAAGTCCTTGTGGCCTAGACTGCCCCTTCATTTCTCCTAGAGTCCAATAGCACGTCAACACATGATGGCAAGACTTGTAAAAACTCAAGCTCCCAACACCAGGATGGGAGATTTTCCTCTTGCTAGTGCCAATACAAATGCTCCCTCCATTGGCAGATGTCAGCTGAGTACAGTCTGGTTCTGCTTTTCACTGTGACGGCGTAGTACTGAGTTTATTGCAAAGCCTCACAAACTATGCTCTTCCTCTCCCAAACATACTATCTCTGCACCATGTAGCCACTACTTGTGGTTGAAAAAGAGGTGGCATCCGTGTTTCTAGACCATCTTTTTTTTTTTTTTTTGTCTTCTCCAATGTCTCTTTCAGTGATACGAATTTAATACCAGGTACTGTGATTGCTCACCCAATTTTTGGTCCCTTTGACAGTGCTCCTTGAATGTAGTGAGTTGTGAAAATTTGGTGTTTTTGTGTGGGCGACGAGAGTGTAGGCTTCTATTCTGCCCTCTTACTCTGTCTCTGTCTTAAATTTTTTAGATTCAGGGAGTACATTTGCACGTTTGTTACATGGATATATTGTGTGATGCTGAGCTAGCTGGGATATTATTGATCCCATCACCAAGGTAGTGAGCATATATTGTGGAATATAATTGATCCCATCACCTAAGCAGTAAGCATAGCACCCATAGTTTCTCACCCTCTGCCCTCCTCCTTCTCTCCTTCATCTAGTAGTTCTCAGTGTCTATTGTTGTCATCTTTCTATTCATGAGTACCCCATGTTTAGATTCTACTTATAGGCAAGAACGTGTGGTATTTGGTTTTCTGTTCCTGTATTAATTTCCTTAGGATAATGGCCTCCAGACGATGCATGTTGCTGCACAGGACATGACTGTATTCTTTTTAATGTGTGCATAGTATTTTATGGTGTATATGTGGCACATATTTCTATCCAATTTATTGATTCATACATAAGTTAATTCCATGCCTTCCCTATTGTGAATAGCAATATGACGAATATACAAGAGCGTGTGGGGTCTCTTTTTGTAGAATTTTTAATTTTCTTTTGGATATATACTCAGTAATGGAATTGCTGGTTGAATGGTACTTCTGTTTTAAATTCTTTGAAAAATCTCCAAACTGCTTTTCACAGTGGCTGAACTAATTTACATTCTTACCAATAGTGTATAAGCATTTCATTTTCTCTGAAGTCTAGCCAGAATTTGTTATTTTTTACTTATTAATAGTAGCCATTCTGACTAATATGAGATGGTATCTCACATTGATTTGCACTTCTCTGATGATTAGTGATGTTGAACATTAAGAAAACAACCCATTAAAACATTGACAAGGTACATAAGAAGACACTTCTCAAAAGAAGACGAGCTGGGCACAGTGGATCACGCCTGTAATCGCAGCACTTTGGGAGGCCGGGGTGGGTGGATCACAAGGTCAGGAGATCGAGACCATCCTGGCTAACACGGTGAAACCCCGTCTCTACAAACAATACAAAAAATTAGTCAGACGTGGTGGCGGGCGCCTGTAGTCCCAGCTACTCAGGAGGCTGAGGCAGGAGAATAGCGTGAATCGGGGAGGCAGAGCTTGCAGTGAGCCAAGATCGCACCACTGCACTCCAGCCTGGGTGACAGAGCGAGATTCCGTCTCAAAAAAAAAAAAAAAAAAAGATATAGAAGTGGGATTCTTATTCTATCACAATAAGCTGCCTTTCCTTTGCAAATACAAAATCAAACCATTTGAAAAATCACTTTAATTGTAGGGTTTGACGGTATGTTTCCCCTTCTCTATCTCCTTTCCTCTTTTGTGATTTTTTTTTTTCTGATCACTATGAATCCACTCAGCAGATTAACTTCCATTCTTAATCTGTGTGAATTGTGCTGATGAGATAGTCAGCTCTCTTAAAATCGCTAACAAAAAAGTTTTAAATTTCCTAGCTAGTAATACATTTTTAGCATGCCACAGGATACTCTTAGAGTAAGGACTTCTGGTCCAGGCATTATGGATTATGATGATTAGTTCTCTGGATTTCTATAAGCTTTGAAATTAAGAGGTAAAAGATCTAACATAAATTGGACTTCATACTATTTATACATTTATTTGGTTTGTTAATTATTCCATAGGAAAACAGATGAAAGACTTCTGTAGAATTCAATTCTGTTTCACTATATTTAGGGTTACAAGAAGGGAATTATATTGATGTGATTGACAGACTGAATTAACCTCAGTCATCACATGTAATTTTTCTAGAGTTTTTTCATGGTACTGACATTCTTTTCAGTATGTCAATGCCTAGCTTGGGTTTCTTGGGGAGAGATGAATAGCTAGTACTACCCATCTAAAACATAATGTTCATTAGTTGGAATAATGGTGTGATATGATAGTCTTCAATATGTCCATGACTAGCTTGGGTTTCTGGGGGAGACATGAGTAGCTAGTACTACCCATCTAAAACATAATGTTCATTAGCTGGAATAATGGTGTGATATGATAGTCTTCAAGATGATGCCCTCAATTTCTTTCCTCCCTGCATGCACATGCTGCTCTTTACCTTGACAGGTAGAGTCTACTCTCCTATTTCTTGAATCTGTGCTGGTCACAATGACTTGCTTTACCAATAGGATGCAGCAGAGGTCATATTCTAGGACCTCCAAGGCCAGGTCATAAGAAGCTTTGTAGTATTTGCCTGTGTGTCTTGGAACAAACTACCACGTTCTGAGGACTCCAGGTAACATGGAGAGGACAGATAGACATCACACTCAGCAGCCAATATGCACTGCCAGCCATGTGAGTGACCTGTCTAGGCTCTTTAGCCTAGCTGAGCTTTCAGGTGACTTCAGCAGCAGCCAACCAACCGCAACTGCAAGAAGGACTCCAAAAGAGAACTTTTGTAGTGCCCGTCAACCCACAAAACCATGAGAAATAACGTTATTTAAAATTACTAAACAAATAATAACAATAAACAATATTAAACCATAAATAATTCCTTAAGTTTTGGAATGGCTTACTATTCAGCAAGAGATAGCTAGAACAAGTACTAAATATTGCACAATACTGAACAAGTGTAAGTTTAGTTGTATAATATACTTCTATATTTTAAAGCCATTGACATTTCTGATAAGGGTGTAAAAGTGAGCACTGATTAAATGGTTCCCAAGAGAAGTTGCCTGTTGTATCTCAATATCATCATTTACCAATGGGAGCTGTATTTAGTTTTTGGAAAATATACATTTTAATGTTCATTTTAAAAAATATACTAACAATTGTTTAGAAAGGCATATGCTATTTTGAAAAACATTTGAGTGAACCAGAAAAGTGTAAACTTTAAGGCTCTAATCATATTTGTATGCTATTTAACCCACAAATCCAAAGTCTGATGGCAAATATGTTTGTGTAATACTGATATTTGGATAAATAAGTTAAACTAACAGTTTTCTTTTTAAATGATAGGCCTTATAATTGGTATGATGTTGAGATGGCTGCAGTGGATGGGCTCATCACCATAATAATGTTTTCTCTTTAATACTTTTTTAGAACATTAAGTGACAACCAGAGAGTCTAAAACTGGGTTACACAGCAGTAATAAAATCAGAGTGACACTTACTTTGCAGCAGCAGGACTGGAATTCTTGCTATTGGGGTTGGTGGCAGCAAACTCAATTATGGGTGTCTTCTGCTTCATGCTTAGAAGGTGTGTTGGAATATTTCCTGTTTAGAACTTTCTAACACTTCCTGACTAGAGCTGTTTAAAATAGAAACAAACCCCTCTGATTTTGAATTTAGCCTATTTATTGTTATAATTTGTTCATATGTTTCTACTTTTTAGACTGTGGCTTTCTTGTAGACAGAAGTTATATCTTATACCTCTTTTTCTTCAGCAGCGGTGTGCCTGGCACCTAGCTGAATTGTCAGGTTCATTGAATAAGTAAAGTAAAATTATACTACAAGTAAACTATTAAATTTATCAATTTTACTCAGAAAATATATAGCTAAGTATGACATTTGAATCAATTCACTCATTTATTCAACAAACATTTTTTAAGTGACTACAGCATGCTATGAGCTAGGAATATGGCAGTAAACAAATCTCACCTTGTCTCAAACTTCAGTGGATCCGGGATTCTCTAGAAGTTTAATTCTTGCTCAATCAGCAATTCCTTTTCACTGAAGACTTGACAAGAAGGTTTGAGAAGGCAAGAGTGTGTGAACTCAGCAGATGTTAGTGATTCACCTACTGTGTGCCAGCTGTAGTGTCGTAGGGTCAGCCTGTGTCTTCTAGGAAAGGTGAAAACTAAGGACAATATTTTAAACAACAAATAATGCCAAGTATGCCACGTGATGGAGAAGGAAAGCGCTGAGTCCCAAGAGTATAACAGGCACTGAGCCTCGCGTGGGGTCCAGGCCTCTCTGGCATGGTGCCCTCCTAGGTCGTGGTTGTCCTTTCTTATTGCTCCTGCTGTCTTCTTCAGTTACATCTGCTTCTCTGCATTTCCTCATTTTACCGTATGTGGGATGCAGTCATCTCTGGACAGGAATAGGCAACTGTGCACCTGTTATGCCGTGCTTGATGCTCTGCATTGATGTACACTGGGCCCAGTTTTCCCTGGTGGACTGCTTGGGCTGTTCTTGTCTTCTGGCTCTGAAGACTTTGTTCACAGAGGTGCACTTGCCAGACGGGGGAGCCAGAGATCTGGGGTCCTCTGATGAGGCCACTCTCACCCTGCTTATCTTCCCTGACATAACCAACAGACGAAGCTCAGGTGGGCGATGCACCTCAGGCCACAGTGTGGACTGTTGTAACCAAGCGAGTTATAGAGGAACACCACACTTTGAGACAAATTAAGGAGTCCTTTATTAGCCGGCGACCGAGAGGCAGCTAACGCTCAAAATTCTCTCGGCCCCGAGGAAGGGGCTGGTTTTCTTTTATACCGTGGTCTAAATAGGCGAGGGGGGAGTTTGGCTGAAGCAATTTTTACAGAAGCAGAGCTGGCAAAAAGTTAAAAAATTAATTGGTTACAAAAGCAGTTGCAATAAAATAAACAGTTCTAGGTGCAGGGGCTTAAACTATCACAAAGAGAGAAATGCAGGGGTTTTGGGTGCCATTCACCGAGTGAGTCCCCAGGAGCTGCTGGTGCAGCTTGCCTCAATATCTTATCAGTAAGTGATTCCTGGAAGTGCTTTGAGTCAGTTTACACTAGTTATGCCCTTAAGGGAGGGACGTAAAGGGGGCTGCACGTGAAGAAACTAAAATGGAGTCTGTCCAGCTCTCTGCTAGGAGAAAGTCACTCAGGTTAAAATAAGTTAGGGTATCACTGGACCATGTAGAATTCTTCAAGCTCCAGCTTCAACTCTCTTTCTTATTGCTGTCTTAGGACAGTATATTTAGATGGGAGTAAATGAAAGTAATGTTATTAGGGGATAAGATTAAAATTGATCCCATTTGTAAAAAAGGAAGTAGATTATTTGTGAACTGTAATACTTTATTTTAGTGAAGAATCACCTTAAAACTTGAACCTGAGTACAAGATAATTCCTTCATTCCGCAAATGTTTAGTAGCAAACTATATGCCAGGACTGTGCTAGGTACTAGGGATATATGGTTGAACATATAGTATAAGATGCCTTGGAGCATCAGATAGTTTCACATAAATGGTCTCATACAGTATATAGACCGTGTGGTAAAAAGAGACTACTGAGATGCACAGAGGACAGAAAATAAAGGGTCTTTGAATGGCGTATAAATGTGTTTGGACTTTTCACTCAGGGCTGTTGAAGTTTTGGAAGGTCAGTGGTCTCAGAGTTTTGGTGTTTTCAAGCACTGCTAAATACTTTGTTTCTAGCTGATGATTGGCCACCATTACTGATCATCTATTTGCTCTGTCTGATTCAGCAATCCCACCACTGGGTATCTATGCAAAGGAAAAGAAATCAATGTATCAGAAAGATAACTACTTATATATTTGTTGCAACACTAATCACAGTAGCACAGGTATAAAATCAACCTAAATGTCCATCAACAAATGATTGGATAAAGAAAATGTAGAAAATATACAAAATGAAATACTATTCAGGCACAAAAAATAGAATCATAACTTTTGCAGACACATGGATGGAACTGGAGGCCATTGTTGTAAGTGAAGCAAGCCAGACACAGAGTAAACATCGTATTTTATCACTCATAAGCGGGTGCTAAAAGATGTGTAGGTATTGATGTAGAGAGTGGAATGATAATGGAGACTCAGCAGGGTGAGGGGATAGAAGGGGTGAATAGTGAGAAATTACTTAATGGGTACAATGTGCATTATTCTGGTGATGGATACCCTAAAAGCCCTGACTCTCTACTATGCCATCCATGCTTACAGCAAAATTGCACTTAGAACCCATAAATTTATACACAAAAAGTCTTAGACCTCTCTCTCTTCTCTCATAAGCCTCAGAGCTCAGTGATCCCCTTGGATCTCCTCAGCCTGCTGAGTTGTGATTTTCCTACCTAAGGTGATTTTGGGCAGAGACAAGGGAGTGTTTCAGGAAGATGTTCTCAGGCACACGCTTCTGCAGAAGCATTGGAGGCTCTTCTAGTGGCCTTTATCTAGTCACTGCTTTAAGCAAGGAATAAAACATCTGTGGCTAAAATTTAAAAAACTGTGTTTTCCACCCACCCTTCAGACCTGACAGAAGATATTTTAGGATTTTAAGGGAACAGCTTTTTCCTGACCCAAAAGGGCACAGTAGTGCAAAGGCTAATGTCACGTAAGTACTTTTTCCCCATCTTTAAAATAACTTTCAGATACTATTCCCACAGTTGGAATCAGTACAATGTTTTGACTGAGGTATTGGAAAAGCCTATGAGCTCATTATCATTTGAACGTATGAGTAATGTAAAATTTAGGCAGAATTTTATTTGAAAGGATTATTTATGCAATTTTAAATTAACTGATTTATATTGTGGTTATTTCAAACAATAAAAATCAGGTTGTTGTGTTGTGAGCTAGAAATATTTACAATAACACATGATCTTGATTATCTCACATGATGAATTGAAGATTAAAGCTAAATAATTTATCTTAGGGAATTCTGTGACAGTTTTGTTTCACTTTGCTTAATAATGACTTCAAACTGTTGTACATATATAGAGAACTCCTGACTGAAGAGAATTTTTTTGACTATTGTGCTATGTTTCTGTAACTTTTTAAGATCTAGAGGAACATATATTTAGTCTCAGTTGGCCAACTAAATGTTATGGAGTCAGCTTCTGTGTTATGTTCTGAGCATTGAAGGAACGGTGGAGACAAGGCTGCTGCCCTCGCAGAGTCTGTGGAGAAAACCTGATGGAGTGTGGCAGCGAACATGCTGGGAGCATCCCAGGATGACAAAAGTGCACACAGATGGAACATCTGCCTTAGAACAGGGGAGGGTCAGACAAGGAGAGGTGTCAGGAAAAACAAGGAAAGTTTAATCTGCAGGAATAGAAACACACTTGGGAAATCCATGGGGACTGAAAAGAGAATGGCTGAGCAGCAGCAGATTGTCAAAAAGGAAATCAAGAAGGAGCAGCCTAAGAGGTTGATAGAGAACCAGGAGAAAGAATGTGACACTGAAGCCAAGGGAAGGAAAGTGTTTCAACATTTCTGGGAAAAAAATGACATGCTCTGTCTTAACCTTGCTGTTTTATGAGTCATATAGCCACATTCCAGGTTCTGAGAAGTCCAGCACTAAAGATGTTTCTTTTAGTTTGCTTAACCCAGCATTTGCCAGAATAATCTGGGCTCAGTGTGAGTGTGTGTGCGTGTGTGTGCCTGTGTGTTCCACTAATATCTCACTGGGGCTAATGCTCTATACAACATAATTTTTAAAACACTGGTTTTATCCATCTTATGTTCAGCTGCAGCAATACTTACAAAGGTCAACTTTGATCACGTGTCTTAGTTACTAAAGAAAACAAAACAAACTAATGAATAAAGCCCACCTGACAGTGGATCCTCACTACCTGTACGATGGAGCCCACCTGGCTTGGCCTGGGTGCCCTGTGCTGACCTGGTCTTGCTGCCCTCTGCCTGCTGCTTTGCCGCCACTTTCCTCCTGGAGAAGGTAGAGATGCTCTGAGCTTTGGCCTGTCTGGAACATGTGTCCTTCTCCTAACGCGGACCATGTTTTCCCGAGTGCACTTTAATCTCTTTTAAGGGTATAGAACTTTCCTTAAAGCTTTTGGTCAGGTCTCCCTCTCTATGCAGTCTTCCGGCCACTTCTACAATGTACATACTTTACTGATACATTAATTATGCTATACCAGCCCAGGACTTTACTTATGTATCATTTTATATCACCATCTTTTTTTCTTAGAGCTTAGTTCACTTATTTATTCAGTCTTTCCACAATATAATTGTATGTCATATAATTTTATATTTATTTTCATTGGTATTTATAAGTCTTTTCTGTAAAAATAGAAGCTAAGTAGATCTTCATTAATGTTGAAAGAACAAGGTTTTAAGTCTTGGTCTCAGCCAAAAGCAGTTCCCTGCATATCCAGGAGGGAAAGAATCACTTGCATTGTTGCATTAGATATTCTTACAGAGAAAGAGAACCACGTGTAATGGAAAATTGCTAACTTTGCCTCAGGGAGACCAGGTTGATTCACTGAGAAAGTTTGAATTGGTTTAGAAAGCATAGTTCTGAGTTTTCTAGGAGAAGTAGAAAAGTTAGAGTAGGGCATAAGAAGTAATCCCCATATCAAAAAGTTAGAAAGATCTCAAATTAACAACCTAACATCACAACTGAAAGAATTAGAGAAGCAAGAAGAACTCAACCACAAAGCTTATAGAAGATAAGAAATAACTAAAATCAGAGCTGAATTGAAAGAAATTGAGACAAGAAAGCGTTCAAAAGATCACTTAATCAAGGTTTTTGAAAAAAATTAGTAAGATAGATAGGCACTAGCTAGACTAATAAAGAAGAAAAGAGAGAAGATTCAAGGAAACACAATTAGAAATGCTGAAGGGAATGTTACCACTGACCCCAGAGAAATAAAAATAACAACCAGCAACTACTATGAACACCTCTGCACACACAAACTAGAAACTCTAGAAGAGATGAATAAATTCCTGGACATCTACACTCTCTCAAGACTGAACCAGGAAGAAATTCAGTCTCTGAACAGACCAACTGTGAGCTCCAAAAATTCAATCCGTAATAAATAGCCTACCAACCTCCCAAAAAAGCCCAGGACCTGATAGATTAACAAATTTTAACAGATGTACAAAGAAGAGCCAGTACCAGTCCTACTAAAATTATTTCAAGAAATAGAGGAGAAGGGACTCTTCCCCAACTTGTTCTATGAGGCCAGCATCATCCTGATACCAAAGCCTGGCAGTGACACAACAAAAAAAGAAAGCTTCAGACCAGTATCCTTGATGAACATCCATTCAATAATCCACAACAAAATACTTGCAAACTGAATCTAGCAACACATCAAAAGACTAATTCACCATAGTGAAGTAAGCTTCTTCCCTGGAATGGAAGGTTGGTCCATCATGGGCAAATCAATAAGATGTGATTCATAACATAAATAAAACTAAAGATAAGAACCATGTGATTGTCTCAACAGATGCAGAGAAGGCTTTCAGTAAAATTCAACAAATCTTCATTTTAAAAATTCTCAATAAACGAGGTATCAAAGGAGCATACCTCAAAATAATAAAGGCCACCTATGACAAACTCACATCCAACATTATACTAAATGGGCAAAATCTGGAAGCATTCTCCTTGAAACCCGCACAAGACAAGGATGCCCTCTCTCATCACTCCTATTCAACATAGTATTAGAAGTCCTTTCTGGAGCAATCAGACAAGAGAAAGAAATAAAGGTATTTAAATAGAAAGAGAAGTCCAACTACCTCTGTTTGCAGACAATATAATTATCTATCTAAACCCTATAGTTGTGACCCAAAAGCTCCTTAAGCTGATAAACAACTTCCACAAAGTTTCAGGATACAAAATCAATGTACAAAATTTGCTAGCATTCCTATACACCAAGAAGAGCCAAATTAAAAGTCAAATCAGAGAGGCAATTTTAATCACAATTTCCACAAAAAGAATAAAATACGTACAAATACACCTAACCAGGGAGGTGAAAAATCTCTACAATGAAAATTATAAAACACTGCTCAAAGAAGTCAGAGAAGACACAAACAAATGAAAAATCATTCCATGTTAATAGAAAGAAAGAAGTAATATCATTTAAATGGTCATACTGCCCAAAGCTATTCCTATTAAACTACCAATGACATGCTTCACAGAAGTAGATAAAGCTATTTAAAAATTCATATAGAACCAAGAAAGAACCTAAGTAGCCAAGGCAATCCTAAGCAAAAAGAACAAAGCTTGAGGCATCACATTACCTGACTTTAAACTATACTACAGCACTATAGTAACCAAAACAGCATGGTACTAGTACAAAAACAGACACATACACCAATGGAACAGAATAGAGAGCTTAGAAATAAGACCACATAACTACAACTATCTAATCTTTGACAAAGCTGGCAAAAACAAGCAATGGGGAAAAGATGCCCTATTCAATAAATGGTGCTGTGATAACTGGCTAGCCATATGCAGAAGATTGAAGTTGGACTGCTTCCTTATACCATACACAAAAATCAACTCAAGATGGATTAAATACTTAAATGTAAAACCCAAAACTATAAAATCTCTGGAAGACAACATAGGCAATACCATCCTGGACATAGAAACAGGCAAAGATTTCATGATAAAGACACCAAAAACAACAAACGCAACTATTGACAAACGCAACTATTGACAAGTGAGATCTAATTAAACTTAAAATCTTCTGCTCAGCAAAAAAAATTATCAATAGAGTGAACAGACAACCTATAGAATGAGAAAAAATATTTACAAACTATGTATCTGACAAAGATCTAATATTCAATATAAGGAACTTAAATTTATAAGAGAAAAACAAACAACCTTATTAAAAAGTGGCCAAAGAATTGTCTATTCATGTCCTTAGCCTACTTTTTGATGGGATTGTTTGTTTTTTCTTGCTAATTTGTTTGAGCTCGTTGTAGATTCTGGATATTATTTCTTTGTCAGATATACAGATTGTGAAGATTTTCTCCCATTCTGTGGATTTTCTGTTAACTCTGCTGACTGTTCCTTTTGCCGTGAAAAAGCTCTTTAGTTTAATTAAATCCCACCTATTTATCTTTGTTTTTCTTGCATTTGCTGTTGGGTTCTTGGTCATGAAATCCTTGCTAAGCCAATGTCTAGAAGGGTGTTTTTGATGTCATCTTCTAGAATTTTTATACTTTCAGGTCCTAGATTTAAGTCCTTGATCCATCTTGAGTTGATTTTTGTATAAGGTGAGAGATAAAGATCAAGTTTCATTCCCCTACTTGTGGCTTGCCAATTATCCCAGCACCATTTGTTGGGTAGGGTGTTCTTTCCCCACTTTGTTTTTGTTTGCTTTGTCAAAGATCAGTTGGTTGTAAATATTTGGGTTAATTTCTGGGTTCTCCATTATGTTCCATTTGTCTACGTGCCTGTTTTTATACCAGAACCATGCTGTTTTGGTGACTATGGTCTTATGATACAGTTTGAAATCAGGTAATGTGATGCCTTCTGATTTGTTCTTTTTGTTTAGTATTGCTTTGGCTATGTGGGCTCTTTTTTGTTCCATATGAATTTTAGGACTGTTTTTTCTAGTTCTGTGAAGAATGATGATGGTTTTTTGATGGCAATTGCATTGAATTTGTAGATTGCTTTTGGCAGTATGGTCATAGACAATTCTCAGAAGATATACAAATGGCCAACAAACATATGAAAATATGCTCAACATTACTAATGATCAGGGAAATGCAAATTACAACCACAATGTGATACCACCTTATTCTCTCAAGAATGGTCATAATAAAAAAAAAATAGATGTTGGTGTGAATGTAGTGAAAAGGAAACACTTCTACACTGCTGGTTGGAATGTAAACTAGTACAATCACTATGGACAGCAGTGTGGAGATTCCTTAAAGAACTAAAAGTAGAAGTACTATTTGACCCACCAATCCCACTACTGGCTATGTACCCAGAGGAAAAAAAAAGTCATTATCCAAAAAAGATACCTTCACACATATATTTATAGCAGCACAATTTGCAATTGCAAAAATATAGAACCAATCCAAATGCCCATCAATCAATGAGTGGATGAAGAAATCATGGTATATATGCACAATGGAATACTACTCAGCCATAAAGAGGAAATGAATTAATGGCAGTTGCAGCAACCTGGATGGGATTGAAGACTATTATTCTAAGTGAAGTAACTCAGGAATGGAGAACCAAACATCATATATTCTCACTTATAATTGGGAGCTAAGCTATAAGGATTCAAAACCTTAAGAATGACACAATAGACTTTGGGGACTCAGGGAGAAATGGGAGAACGGTGTGAGTGATAAAAGGCTACAAATTGGGTTCAGTGTATTCAGATGAGGTGGTGGATGCACCAAAATCTTACAAATCTATAAAGAACTTACTAATGTAACCAAATGCCACCTGTTGTCCTAAAACCTATGGAAATAAAAAAATGTTTAAAAAGTGGGCAAAGGACATGAACACTTTTCAAAAGAATACATACATGTGACCAACAACCATAGAATACAAAGCTCAATATCACTGATCATTAGAGAAATGCAAATCCAAGGCACAGTGAGACACCATCTCACACTAGTCAGAATGGCTATTATGAAAAAGTAAAAAAATAACAGATGCTGGCAAGGTTGTGGAGAAAGAGAACACACACACAGTTGGTGGGAGTGTACATTGGTCCCACCATTGTGGAAAGCACAACAGTGTTCTCCTCGAAAGATATAAAAGCAGAACTATCACTTGACCCAGCAATCTCATTACTGGGTATATACCCAGAGGTGTATAAATTGTTCTATCATAAAGACACAAGAACATAAATGTTGCAGCACTATTCACAATAGTAAAGACACGGAATCAACCTAAATGCCCAATGACAGATTGGATACAGATAATATGGCACATTGTGCAGGAAAATTTAAATATTAAACTTGATCTCTATTGAACAGGGACAGAAACAATGGTCACTAAGTCCTGGAACGAGTTGTGTGAGCCCCTTGAGGCATTCATCCAGTGTTGTTATTATTGTAGTTTTTATTATTGTATATTTTTGTATTTTTTTATTATTGTATTTTTATTGTATTGTATTTAGTATTGTAGTTGTTATTATTGTATTATTAAGTAGTTATTGAAAAACAACAGACAATGGCAAAAACAAGTTGACTTTTTGTATTCCTTGAGCCCAGTCACGAAGGGCCTTCAGGACTGGGCCTCATGACAAACAACTTGTTACAAAAAGAGCTCGGTTCCCAGACCACGCTGAAGGTTCATGGGACCTCTCCTCGTCTGTGCATGGACTGCTGGCCAACTCTGGAGCCCAGGCTGTTGCTTCCTGGTCTGGTGATGAATCCTCCATAGTCTGGCGAGTGTAAAACAAAAATATATATATATATGTGTGTGTGTGTATATATATATATATATATATATATATATATACACACATATATATACACATACATACGTATATATACACACATATATGTATATACATATATACGTATATATGTACATATATAGATATATGTACATAGATATATGTACATATATCGATATATGTACATATATACGTATATATGTACATATACGTATATATGTACATATATAGATATATGTACATATATACGTATATGTACATATACATATATATGCAAATATACGTATATATATTACATATATATACACATATATACGTATATATATTACATATATATACACACACACATATATATACACATTTTCCCTTCTCCCCTTCCCATTACAATTTGTTTATTGTATCATTTGCTTATTATATCTATATTGCCATATACTTGGGATAAAGTCTGTTTACCCTTAAAAGTATTGTGTGTTTCTTTTCTTCTTTCCTCACACATTTCCCACACAGAACACACATAAGCACCATGGAATACTATGCAGTTATGTGTTCACACTTATAGGTGGGAGCTAAATAATGAGAACTTATGAACACAAAGAAGGAAACAACAGACAACAGACACTGGGGTCTACTTGAGGGGGGAAGGTGGGAAGAGGGAAAGGAACAGAAAAGATAACTATGGGGTATTGGGCTTAATACCTGGGTTATGAAATAATCTGTATAACAAGCCCCTGTGATACGAGTTTGTCTATGTAACAAACCTTCACCTGTTCCCCCGAGCCTAAAATAAAAAATTTTTTAATCCTTTATGAAAGCTATAAGATCTGCTCCTGTGTGTTTGTATGTCTATATGTGTTACATGTATGTGATAATATTTTGTAAAAGCTCATTCTTAAATCATTAGTAAAATAGAAATGGCTTTATAATTATCCATTAAAAATAATTAGATATTTGCTTGATTTAACTGTGAGCTTATATCTTCCGTTGAGAGTTTCTGGATTCAGGGGGTCTTGATAGGTGACCATGATGAAGTACGGAGACACGTTCTCAGTGCCTAGATCAGCAGCTAAAAGCCAGAATCAAGCCCAAATCGGCCCCTTCTTTCCATGCTTTCCCTGTTTTGCCTTCTGGCTATTTTAGAAGGGGTTGGATCCTCCAGGTATAGTCTTCACAGCTCTGTCTTTAGTCCTAATGGACTCAGGCAGGCCCTGATCTTCACAGTTTTCCTGGGTGCCATGTGGCTACTTGGGACCTAAAATTACTGAGGGAAGACATTATGGATGCTACCTGTGTCATGGTTTCAAAATTCTGTTCAGTAATTTAAAATCTTAAATTCACATTAAATTAAGTAATAGCCGTAAAATATCTTGAGTCATTTGTAAGCTAAAATAGTGAAATATTAACCATTAAAAATTAGTTTAGTTCTATATACCATGACATGTTACTTGAATATGGTACAGAAAACCTAAATATCTTTAGTTCTGTTAATAAACAGTAATTTGAAGAATTATATTTCTTAAAAGTTGTAAAATGGTTTTTATCTAAAAATACTGACATAAGACAGTTGAGAAATCACTTTGTAGGGGTTTCATTGAATATTGGGACTCCTAAGACTTAATTACTAGATACGAGAGAAACAATTCTGCATACAGAGTGTATAAAAAGCAAGATATGCCTTATTTTTCTTTTTTGAGACTGAGTCTTGTTCTGTTGCCCAGGCTGGTATGCAGTGGCATGATCTCAGCTCACTACAACCTCTGCCTCCCCGGTTCAAGTGATTCACCTGCCTCAGCCTCCCAAGTAGCTGGGATTACAGGTGCTCTCCACCACACCCAGCTAATTTTTGTATTTTTAGTAGAGACAGAGTTTCACCATGTTGACCAGGCTGGTCTTGAACCCCTGACCTCAAGTGATGCACCTGCCCTGGCCTCCCAAATTGTTGGGACTATAGGATTGTGAAAATATGTTTTTGATGATAAAACTTATAAATCCATAAAACTGTGTTTTAATTTTTTTTTGGTTTGAAGTTACTTAAAGGTTTCAAATTGAAGAAGTAAAAAAACTAGATAAAACTAGATAAATATAGAAAGTTGGGGGAAAATGCAAAGCATAGGTTCACAAAAATCTGGGATTAAAAGATAACAAAATTTGATAAATGCATTTATAAAGTTTTATTAAATTAGCTTTAGAGGCCAGGCGCTGTGGCTCATGCCTATAAATAATAAAATTTTCTTGTCAATTGTATCTGACTATGACAACTTAAAGTGATTTCTACAGTAAATTGCTTAATTCTGAGGCAGTTTCTGAAAACTTTACAAGCTTGCAAAATCCTGGAATATTGTATCCTTAAGGAGGTTCATGAAAGGATGGAGAAGGCCCTGAGAAGCACTCTTGAATACAGGTTTTTGAGAACTTTAGAATGATATTATTTGAACTGGGTAAGAATTCCCAGAACTTTAATGAAGAGACTAACTGGTTAATACAACTGCTAACCCAAGCAGAATAAAAATCAATTGAATACCAAGAAAACACTTTGCCAGATTTTCATGCCAAATCAGCTAGTACTTAAATTGTCTAGATAAAGAATTTGAATGAACGGCATAGTCCAAGTCAAATTATCTATGATAATCCCTGATTAGTCAGTGCTATGCACCTAAGTTGAAGAAAGAGTCCAATGTTAAGCATGGAGAACCAGAATGTCTTCCTTGTCCTTCCTGAGTTCTGAAAGCTTTTCTTATTAAAAGTTCTGAATTCTGATTCTTGGGTGTGAGAGTAAAGCAAGATGGCAGAAAGAAGGCTCCACTGATTGTCCCTCCTGCAAGGACACCAGATGAACAACTATTAATATCCACATAGAAAATACATTCATAGGAACCAAAGATCAGATGAGTACTCAAAGTACCTGGTTTTAACCTGAGATCACTGAAAGAGGCACTGAAGAGACAGAAAAAACAGTCCTGAAATCACCGTTTCCTCATCCCCAGCAGTGATGGCATGCTGCAGAGATCAACTCTGGGTTCTGCGGGAGGGAGACACAGCAATTGTGAGGCACTGCACCCAGTGCTGTCCTGTTAGAGCTGAAAGGAAAACCAGACCAAGTGCAGTTAATGCCCATCTACAGAGGGATCAATTAAACCAGCCCCAGCCAGAGGAGAATCAGATTCCAGTGGTTGGAACTTCAGTGTTTGGAAACCTGGCAACTAAGGGCTCCCGCACTCTGTGTGTCTAAGAAAACTTGAAAGGCAGCCTAGGCCATCAGGACTGCAACTCTTAGGTGAGGCCTAGGGCTGAACCGGGCCCAGAGACAGTGGACTTGGTGGGGAGGGCATGCAACATACTGAGACACCAGCTGGGGCAGCCAAAGGACTTCTGGCATTATCATTCCACTAACACCAGATTGCACAGCTCATGGCTCCAAAAGGGACCTCATCCTTCTGCTTGAGGAGAGGAGGGAAAAGAATAGGGAGTATTTGTCTTTCATCCTGGACACAAGCTCAGCCACAGCAAGATAGTGCACTGGTCAGAATCCTGCAACCTCCTTTCCAGTCTCTGGCTCCTAGATATTCCTAGACACACCCTGGGCCAGAAGGAAACCTGCTGCCTTGAAGAAAAGGACCATGTGCTGGCAGGATTTATTGCCTGCAAACTTGAAAATCTTTGGGCTCTGAATAACCAGCAGCCATACCCAGGTACTACATCAAGGGCCTTGGATGACTCTCATAGACTTGTTAGATTTAGGTGAACTCAGCACATTACCAGCTCTGGTGGCTAAAAGGCAAAACTCCTTCTTCTTGGGAAAAGTAGAGGGAAAATTAAAGTGGACTTTGTCTTGCCCCTTAGGTACCAGCAAGGCCAGAGGTGGGTAGAGCACCAAGCGAACTTTTGGAATCCCTGATTCTAGGACTTGATTCTTGGTTGGCATTTATGAAGCTCCCCAGGGCCAGTAGGGATCCCATTGTCCTGAAAACGCAAGTCCCAGGCCAGGCAGCATTCATCACAAGCTGACAAGAGGCTTTGGGCCTTAAGGGAACATTGGTGGTAGCCTGGCAGTACTCATTGTGGCCTGAGGTGGTGGTGGCTACCCTGCCTTTAGGAAAGGAAGGGAGGAATAGGAAGGACTATGTCTTGTGGTTTGAGTGCCAGATCAGCTGCAAGGCAATAGAATGTCAAGTGGACTTCTAAAATTTTTGACTCTACTCCCTGACTTCTGAGTGGCACTTCTGGACCCAGCCAGGGACTGAGGGCACTCACTGCCCTAAAGGAAAGAACACAGGCCTGGATGGCTTTGCCACCTGCTAATTATAGAGACCAAAGGCCTTGAGTGAACATAGGCAGTCGTCAGAAAGTGCATGCAGCAGGACTTGAGCAAGACCCGGTGCTGTGCTAACTTCAGGTCTGATCCAGGGCAGTCATAGTGCTGGTGGCCAGGGATGCTTGTGTCTTTCTTCTCCCAGCTTTAGGTGGCTTAGAACAGAGAGAAAGACTCTGTATCTTTGAGAGAAAATAACGGTAGAGAACAAGAGTCTCTGGCTAGTAATCCAGAAAATTCTCCTGGATCTTGTTGAAGGCTGTCAAGGTGGTACTTCTCTGAGTCTGGAAGACTCAGAGAAGGTACCCATAAAGCAGATATGGCTTAGATCACAACACCCAAGTCTTTTCAAATATGTGAAAAGTCTTCCCAAGAAAGACAGCTACAAATAAGCCCAGACAATGGAGACTACAATAAATACTCACCTTTTCTCTTTTTTAATTTTATTTTTTAAACCTCTCATATGGTGCTGCATGCCCAAGATTTTAATGTCCAGACACTGAAGAACATCTACTAGCATCAACACCATCCAGGAAAACATGACCTCACCAAGCGTACTAAATAAGGCACCAGGGACAAATAATGGAGAAAAAGAGATATGTGACCTTTCAGACAGATAATTTAAAATAGCTGTATTTAAAAAAAAATTGAAAGAACTTTAAGATAACAAAGTAAAGAAATTCCAAATTTTATCAGCTAAACTCAACAAAGAGACTGAAATAGTTACAACAAATTAAGCAGAAATTCTGGAGCTGAAAAATGCAATTGGCATGCTGAAGAATGCATTGGAGCCATTTAATAGCAGAATGGATCAAGCAGAAGAAATAGTGAGCTTGAAGACAGACTATTTGAAAATACATAGTCAGAAGAGAAAAAGAAAAAGAATAAAAACAACAAATCATGCCTACAGGATCTAGAAAAATAGCCTCACAAAGACAGATCTAAGAGTTATTGGTTTTAAAGAAGATGTAGAGAAAGAGGCAGGGGTAGAAAAATTTATTCAAAGGGATAATGACAAAAAACTTTGCAAACCTAGAGAAAGATATCCATATCCAACTACAAAAATGTTATAGGACATTAAGCAGATTTAACCCAAAAAAGACTACTTCAAAGCATTCAATAGATCTTCCAAAAGTCAAAGATAAAGAAAAGTTCTAAAGGAAGAAAGAGAAAGGAAACAAGTAACATACCGGTGAGCTCCAACACATCTGGCAGCAGACTTTACAGTGGAAAGCCTACCGGCCGGGAGAGAGAAACAATAAACATTTAAAGTACTAAAGGAAAAAAACTTTCACCTTAGAATAGCATATACAGTGAAAATGTTCTTCAAATAAAAAGAAGAAATACTGACTTTTCCAGACAAACAAAAGCTGAAGTATTTTATGAATACCATGTCTGTCCTAAAGGAATGCTAAAGAGAGTACTTCAATCAGGAAGAAAAGGACATTAATGAGCAATAAATGATCACCTAAAGGTAAAAAAAAATCCTCACTGCTAATAGGATACAAAACAAAACAGAATATTGTAACACTATAGCTGTGTGGTGTGCAAACTACTCTTATTCAAAGTAGGAATACTAAATAATATCCAATCAAAAGTAATAACTACAACAACATTTCAAGACATAGCACAATAAAATATAAATAGAAACAACAAACAGTTAAAAAGTGAAGGGATGAGCACACCTGTCCTGAGCCGGCCGATGTGGTGGAAGCTCGGAGCTCGGGAGCCGGGGAAGCCCTGGAGCGTGGGCGGAAGGGAGGCAGCCTGGAGAGCCAGAAGCCTGGGCAAGGGACGGAGGCCTCCGGCGCCCCCCAGCAACAGCAGGGCTGCGCCACATTGGTCCTGCGCCAGGCCTGGCCCCCGGCGACGGCGGGACGCTCAGGGAGGCCGGCGGAAAGCGCAGCTCGGCGACTGGTGGTGTTTGGGCTGAGACGGGGAGAGCAGCCAGGCCACCCGCAAGCGGCTGCAGGGTGCCTGATCCCAGCCTCGTGGCCCCGGGTTGGTTATGACGCCTTGAATCAGGCGCGCGTAGCTGGACCGGGCTCTTGTCTACTGCCATTGTCTACGGCCATACCACTCTGAACACGAGAGAAACCCAAGCGGCGGCCCGTGGCACGCTCGGCGCCACTGCTCCCGCCACAGGGACAGGCGCACTCCACAACTTTTAGGGCCCACAGCACCAAGAGGACAGGGAGAAGCCAACAAAGGAATGACGCTAGGAAACGCACCCCCAAAGCCACCAACCAATCCAAGTAAAAACACGTTTCAGGGTTCCGCTGGTTTTCCCGCTTGGGCGGCCCTGCCCCCCTGTTCCAGCCCGGCCCAGGCACCCTCCACCCTACCCTGGCCAAAGGGTCCCCTGTATACCAGAGCAGAGCCTCCCTCTCCAAGGCTCTGTTGCTATCCCTCTCTAGCTCCCTCACCCTCTCCCTTTCTCTACTTCCCTCTCCACCTTGCCCGCTCTCTCTCTCTCTCTCTCTCTCTCTCTCTCGATCGCTGTTTCTCTCTCTCCATCCCTCTGTCCCTTGCTCTTCTTCAAGCTGTCTGTGTCTTTGTGTGTCTGCGTGTATGCTTGTGTTCCCGCGCGTGCACCCGTGTGTGTCTGTGTGTTTGGGAGTGGGTTTGCTAGTGATTGTGGTGGGGCGTGTCTGGATGTCCGTCAGTACCTTTGTCACGGGATCAGGCTGCCGACTCTATTGCCAGCGCGTGGGTGTCACAGTTGCCGTGATAGTCTCACACATGCAGGTGTGTGGATCTCGTTCATTTTCATGTAGACAATGAGAGCGAAAGCACAGAGAAAAGAAACGTCAGGTGCATCACGGCCTGAGGATGGATTCCTGTTTCCTGCAAAATGCGGAGTCTCCCATATAGCCTGTTTGAAAACTGGAAAGGAGAGCACCGACACGATGCTGGTCTTCCACGCTTTCTTGGAAGTTTCTGGGTCCCCACAGAGCTCGGGAAACAGTCAACATGGTCACGCTTTCGGGGGGCGGCAGAGACTTGAGTAACAGGCACCTTTGCAGAGAGCAAAGAAACGTGGAATCCAGAATCACGCTTTACTTGGCCTGAGCGTGACTCCTGTGTGAATGGGACTATCCGCCTCGCGCTCTGTTGCAGGGCTCCACGTGGGGATATGTCATCTGTGAACCATGTGGATGAAAAACAGACAACCACCTGAGTCTCGGCTCATTGCTCTCTGGGGAATTCGCTCATTCCTTCGGAAACGGAATTGGTCTGAATCGCTCCGGGATGAAGTAACCCAGGCTGGCGATCCGGAGGGCCGCTGAGCGCCCCGCTGGCCAAAGGGGCTGTGGGCCCAGCACTTAGCCCGCACTGGGCACCCAACATTTTCCCGGAGTGCTGGGTCCTGTTGGTTCTGGACGCAGAAGACCGTTTTTCTCTCTGCCTTCCTTTAAAACTGTTTCTTGCTCCTTTTGTCCCTGGGTCCATCCTTCCCTCTGTTCTTCCCTCCCTCCCCTGGTTTTTTCCTCCCTTTCTCCCTCCCTCCCTCTTTCCCTTCCAGAGTCTCTCAGTCCATCCATCCTTTCCTAGCTCCATCCTTCCGTCCCACTCTGTCTCCGTTCCTGTCCTCATCTCTGCCTGCCTTGCCTCTTGCCTAGAAAGGGCAGCACCCCGGTTTGCAAGGGGTCTCGGGTCTTTAGTTACAAGGCGCTCCATGGTGCTGGCAAGGAGGCTGGCAGGACACGGGTTGGCAAGTGATTGTGAGCGAAGAGGCAGAGGAATCAAGCTGCAGAAAGGAGAACTGGCCTGGCTTCTGCCCCAACCCAGTGTTTCGCGGACCGAGGACTCCGCCAACCCGACTAAAGAACGCGCGGGGAACAGGGATGAGAGCTCCGCCTGGGCTGGTTAGAAAACCTAGGCTGCGGCCTGCAAACCCGCGCATGAGCAGTAGACAGTACACCTCCCGGTACCTGGACGGGCCCTGGGATCCCCGGGATACTCAGGAAAGAATGACAGCCCTCATCTGTGTGGAGTCACTCGCCAGACCTGGAACTCAGGTATCCTAGGCAGGTCAGCTGGAAGGGAAGATATGCCTCTCCATACCGAGCCAGAGGTTCACCGCGAAAGAGAGGCAGCCGCCCTGCCCCCGCCCCGTCCCGCCCCGCCCCAACCCCGGGTCCTAAAGCTCCTCCAGCAAGCCCGGTGTTCTTCCTGGCTGAGGAGTGGTTCAGCGGAGCGGGCTCTTCCACCTCCTTCAGCTCCCCAAGTGACACCGGATCTAGGAAAGTTTGTGCCTTTTGCTGAAACTCTGGGGTTGACAGGAGCTCATCTAACAGGCTGGAGGTGAGTGTAGACGAGCGCCCTGGCTCCTGGAACGGTTGGGAGGCGCCTTGATGGCTGGCATCTGTGCTTGACGCGGAGGCCTCCGGGGTCGCGAGCTTCGGAAGTGGAGGTGCCCCGTCTTCGGGTTCCCACGCCGCCCTGGCGACCTGGGGCTCCAGCCCCACCGCGGACTCTGGTGTGACATGGGTGGTGCAAGCA
This sequence comes from Homo sapiens, assembly GCF_000001405.40. NCBI lineage: Eukaryota > Metazoa > Chordata > Mammalia > Primates > Hominidae > Homo > Homo sapiens. The sequence continues at coordinate 29,410,710 of NC_000020.11, forward strand.
CACCTTGCCCCTGTGACTCAGCTTGAGGGGGCCCAAGCTGTCCCACTGAGCACGCGCCCAGCAGGCCGTCGCGCTGCGGGTCCTGGTCCTCTTGGCATTTGTTGGGGTGCGGAGGCCTCCGAGTAGTCTCAGGGTGGGACAGTCCCACTTCCGGAGGAGCCAGGGCAGGGAACTCAAATTCCCGCGTGCCAGGGCAGGTTGGGAGAGTCCTTCTGCCTGCGAGGCCTGGCTGGGCTGGAGCAGGGGGACGGCCCTTGCTCCCTGGCTCACGAAAGCCCCCTGTGGGAGAGCCCCAGGCTCGCAGGGCATGTGGGGTGCGGGAAGCGCCGTTCCCCACGCCCCAGTGTGGGTGAACTCGATAGAGGAGGGAGCACGCTGACACCTGCCGGGGGCCGCGTTGCAAAAACCGCCTACGTCCGCGGGTGCCCTGCCACCCTGTCCCGGGTGCCTGGCCCTTCGATTCTGAAACCAGATGTGAATCCTGGACTCAAGGAGGCCCGTCTCTCTGGCCAGTTCTTCCCTGGTGGCGATGACCGGAAAGCGATCCTTCCCAAAGGCTCAGAGAAGCAGGGCGGTCTGGGATCGGGTGACGGCGGTCCGCTTTCGCCTGCCTTCTTGCGGGCCGCGTCTCCCGGGCCAGGGTCGAGATTCCGGCCGGTGCTGCCTCAGCTGGCGTGACCTCTCATTCTGAAACCAAATCTGGACCCTGGGCTCCGGAATGCCGATGGCCTGGGCCAGCCTTTCTCTGGTGGCGATGCCCGGGTATGGGTTCCGCTCAAAGCAGGCTCGCAGGGCCTCGCTTTGGCTCGGGGTCCAAAGGAGTCTCCTTCGCCGTCCTCGTCCTCGGGCTTCCGCGGGGAGGGTGCTGTCAGAAGGTGTCGGGAGAGCCATCGCCGGGAGAGCACCGGCCGGAATTTCACGGACGGACACGGGCAGAGAGAGGCCGGTGGGCTCCCGTGCACCTCAGCTGGCCTCTGCGCTGCAGGCAGGTCCAGCTCGGAGGCCGTTAGAAAGACCTACCACCTCCACCCCGTTATGAACATGCATGAGCTCGGGGCCCAAGGTCCCGGGGTAGCCCGCCCTCCAAAGCCGAAAACCACAGGGACCAGGGCCTTGTGGGGTGGGTGGGTGTAGGGCCAGATTAGAGGGGAAAAAGGGGCTTCGGGGGCTGGCTCTCTGGGTTCTCCAGTAATTCTATGGAAACTGGAAGCCGCTCTCTTGACTCCCACAGTTTTCAGGCAGAAACCACCCCGAAGGGTGGAGTGTGGAACTGAACTTCCATGACAGTCTTGAGTTTTCCAGGCCCTCTCCGTGAAGGCGGCAATGCCTGTGGGTGTCGCCGTTGCCCTGATAGTCTCACACACGCAGGGGTATGGATCTCGTTCATTTTCATGTAGAAAACGAGAGCGAAACTACAGAGAAAAACGTCCCGTGCATCACGGCCTGACCACAGATTCCTGTTTCCTGCAACAAGGGAAGTCTCCACTGTGGCCTGTTTGGAAACTGGAAAGGAGAGCGAAGACAGGATGCTGCTTTTCCACGCTTCGCTGGAGGTTTCTGGGTCCCCACAGAGCTCGGGAAACAAATAGTCAACATGGTCACGCTTTTGGGGGCCGGAGACATGTGAACAACAGGCCCCCTTGCAGAGGGCAAAGGAGTGGCCCTGAATGTGACTCCTGTGTGGACGGGACTATCCGCCTCGCGCTCTGTTGCAGGCTCAACGTGGGGCTATCTCATCTGTGAACCATGTGGATGAAAAACGGACAATCACCCGAGTCTCGGCTCACTGCTCTCTGGG
>NC_000020.11:29413577-29447838 GCF_000001405.40 Homo sapiens
CACTTTCTCCTTTCCAATGTCCCTCTGTCCATCTGTCCTTTTCTCGCTCCATTCCTCCCTTTCTCTCTGTTTCTGTTCCTCTCCCCATCTCTATTTTTCAACATTATATGATCCCATTGTGTGTATCTGTGTGTTAACATTTTTAGCAATAAAGTTCATTTTCATTAAGATATGTATATTGTTATTTAGACATGTTATTTATGTGTGTGCATTTGTTTAATAGACATAAATTTATTTCAGTGTTATTCTACAGCATAGTGTAAGCATAACTCATAAGCAGTGTCAACCCAAAAATTGTGTGACTCGCGTTACTGTGATTATTTTATACTGCAGTGGTCGAGAATAAAATCTCTATATCTCCAATTTATATCTGTGTATTACCATTAAATTGGCCCCATTTCCTGTAGTGATAGAACATTATTCCCAGACTATGACAGGAGCTGTGGACTGTGGGGAGGTCAGGGTTAGGATGATGCAGAAGTGAAGTTAAGACATTCTCTCTTTCACATCTTTATTAAATACAAATTCCAGATGCAAGAAATTTAAAATTCCAAACAATATTAATGTTTATTTCATTATTACATAAAATGAAAATTATAAAGCAACCAAACAAGTCATTAATACACTTAGATAATGAAAGATTGTATGATCTCAGTACAAAATACAAGTAGAATATATGACAAATATAACAAAATATGCTGTATTGTAGTAGGTGATGAAATCTCCATATCCTGCAATACAGTGCAATCAATTGAAATGTATGAAATACAATAAAGTATAAATTCAGGATGTTTAAAATGAAATAAAACATGAGACAGATGAATAAGTACAATCATTTACCATTTAATATATCTTGACTTAAATTTTATGTAGAAATATTAAAAGTAAACAGCTTGCATAGTAATTTTACTATGCAAACTGTAAAAATGTATAGACATTTTCCCACAGGGAGTGCTATTAATGGTTTGTGGATATTAGTACTCCATGGGTTCAGGCTAGAAGAGTGAGAGCCTACAACCTTTTCTGAATTAAAAGAGAAGCAATTTCTTGGTAAAGCGGCTCATGCCTGTAACCCCAGCACATTGGGAGGTGGAGGCTGGCGGATCACTTGAGTCCAAGGCCAACCTTGCCAATGTGACAAAACTCTACTAACAATACAAGAAAAAAAAATCAGCCAGGCATGGCAGTACATGCCTGTAGTCCCAGCTACTTGGGAGGCTGAGGCATGAGAATTGTTTGAACCCAGGAAGCAGAGGTTGCAGTGAGCTAAGATTGTGCCACTGCACTCCAGCCTGAGTGACATAGCAAGACTGTCTCAAAAAAAAATAGAGCATATAATTTTATATTTACTTTTCTACAATCTAAAATATGCAAATTCATGATTACAATCTAATATTTTTCTGATTATATAGAAATGCACGACTGTCACCAGACATCCAAAAGGCATCAAATGTCTAACATGAAATATAAAATTTGTCTATAGCCTTAGCGGTCTGCAAAATTCAGGGCTCACCATTCTGAGTATAGAGCTCAAGTTTCTTTCCTATGACTTCTTCAGGTTCTGTCATTTATTAACACAGTGCATCTAAAATTGTCACTGCTGGTCATCTGGAAGAATCTGAGAAGAAGCAGGTCCTTGTTCTCATTCCCAGAGCTGCATCTGTGCTGAATAGGGTCAGGGTGCTCTCAGCTTCACCTCATCTGATCCACTGACAGGCTCAGTTATCTCCTGCCCAGGGAAGGAATGGGTTTCTCTATCCAGGGCTGAATCCCCAGGACCAGGCAGTGTGGCTGGGACAAGCCAGCTCTCAGCAGGGAAGACATAAGCTGCCTGGGTGGCCATGGAATACAAGGTCTGCACCTGGGCACACAGAGGCCCCCGGAGCCTAGTGAGCAGTGTCAGCTGCTCACAGGTCATTGGAGAATGGATTTTCTGTGTCCACACCTGGGTTAGGTCTTGATAAACAGCCTCCGACATAGCTCGCACAGAGGTCACCAAGCTTTTTCGAAGTGATGGTGTTTGGTCTCCTAGGGCCCGAGACTTATGCCGCTTGCTGCGCTAGTGCAAGCCCTGGAACTTCCCCTATGGTGGGCATCACAGGTCTCCTGGATTTCACTGTTGTGCACAGCAGTGGAGGATCTTGATTTTTTATTCAACGTCAAGCTGCACTCCTCTTCTGGACAGTTCCCTGTAAAGAAAGCATGTGAGAGACTCACCAGAGCAGTCCCCACAGACCCTCATTTCCAGAACCCCCTGTGCACCCAGGTGAACCCCATTTGTCTCTCCCACTCCTTCCTGACCATCTCAGCACTGGAATGAAGTGAAGCTGAACCCCTTGTGAGTCCCCAGATATTCTCAGAGTGCTAGGATCTCAAAAATTTACTTGTCAATAAGTAACTCCCTTTCTGCTCAAGCCTCATATAAAAGTTTCCTGATTATTTGCTTTTTGGGGCAAACCAAAAACAAAAAAACCACCACCACCAGCAACAACAACAAACACCAAGATTCTACCTGCTCTGTATTGGCAGCTATCCTTGGAACTGATTTTTCTTTTCCTGCAGTTTTCCCGATATGAGCTGGACTCTGGTTCTGTGAACACAATGAGAGTTTGAGAGAGTGCCTCAAACTGAACACCCTGAAATTCCTAGTCCATCCTGGACACACAGGAGCTGAGGTTACCACCAAACCCCAGCTCTCTTCTGTTCTCCAGTGTCCAGGATCTGTACGGCCCTGGCTGCGAAGGAGCTTCCAGTTTCCTTGCCAAGGGAGCTTGTGTTGCTGCCCTGTCCCTTCTCACCTTGAAAGAGTCAAATCTTACCTGATCCAGCAGTCCTGTTCCCGGCCTTGAGCTTGGTTTCCTCAGAATTCTCCTTGTTTGGATTGGGCTCCCATCCTGCTGCAAAAGAAAGTTTAGATGACTCACCTCTCCCTAGGCAGAGTCCCATAGTCTATCTCTGATGCATTTTTGCGAATCAGTCTTTCATGTGAAGCTCTTCTGCCAGTGTCACGAGTGAACACATTTCTCAAAGTCCCCTGAGGGCACTAAGCCATTTCACATCCCCAAATCTCAAAATAAAACCCTGTTAAAGACACATAGCTCAGTATCCCTGATTCTAACCCTCCTTCCAGCCTCCATAGGAGCAGCCCAAGGCCTTACCTTGCCTTTGTGTGTGCTTCTCACTGGAATGGGAGAAGGTGGTCTTGCTTTCTTTTGAATGGTTTCTTCTCATCTGAGCCCTTTTCTGAAAAGGAGATCTGTTGGAAAGGGGGCTGGTCAGTGGAGCACTGGATGGAGGAGCACTAGAGATCGGGGTCTTCATTTCCCTTTCCCATGTTGAAGCTCAAGTGAAAGGTGCGCTCTCTCACACGTCCAAAGGCAGAGTGTGGGTTATTCTGCTAGACCTGCCTTTTATAGGTCCCTTGGCTGGGCGTGGCTTACTCTTATTGGCTGAAGAGTTTTCTCATTCCTGCCGCTTCTTAGATCCTCAATCAGAAGTTTCTTGCTGTAGTTCTACTGGGGACCTAGACACAGTTAATGGGAGACATTTTCAGGATCTTGTCATAATGTCAAGAAAACAAAGAACTGGGAGCACAGGGACCGGAAGATCAGGGAATCATTTCATCCGATTTCTGTCCCAGTTCCTACCTGGAAGTATTTATGATCCTGTTCACCTTTCAAGATGCACAATTAAACATGCCTATATTGACATATGTTATATATTTTGCACAGAAAGAAAATTTATTGTACATAGTGTTAACATTGCATGCATAGATATAATTTCTTAAATGCTTGGAAACAACAAATGTCAAATTATGGTTGATTGTATTAGAACCACACATATATGAAGAAATAAAAATGCAGAGAAAAAAATAAATACCAAATGAAATGGCCCTTCCTACCTTAAAAATGGGGAAGATAATTAGATCAAATGCAATAAAATTGAATTGATTAGGTTGAGCTAGTGCTAACCTAATCAGCCCCTGATTCCTGAGGTAGCAAAAAGTCTAGGTGGAAAAACTTTCCCCCTTTCTCACCCTTCCTCAGTCATCCTGGGAGCACCATTGTGTTCTGTGGAATTTATTCAGCCTCCCTAGTAAAAATGGACTTGGTCTCAAACAGGTAACCCAACCGATCACAAGAAAAACAGCCTAGATTCTGAACATTCAGCTCCTGTCTTCACACCGCAGACACCACCTGAATCCCGTCAAAGCCCACATTATTTCTCAACATCCACCATATTCCGGGGCAGCCTCTCAAAATTGCCGCAGTGAGACAGGACAAGGTGTGGTGGAGCTCCAGGTTCAGAATAGCTGCCTCATCCCTTCCTACTGCGGCGGAGTCTGTCTCTGCTGGTCAGAACCCTCCAGCTAGCCTAGTCTATGTCCAAGCAAGTGTCCCCTAAAAGGACCTTCTTCTCTCCCCCACTGCTGAGGAAAGCATGCAGGAATGAGAATTTCTATGTTAGGGAGTACTCAGCCTCCAGTCCCAAATGACTTGATTGACTGATGAACTGATTCCTTGAGGAGGAGAAAGACACGGGGAAGAGACTGTGTTGGGTGAGTCTGTGTTTTCCCAGCTGTGCTGCCTGTGCAAATAGTGGAACCAAAAAAGAATTAGTGGTAGACAGACACTGCCTAGTGAAATTGTCTGAATGTAAATGGAACTTATCATAATATGATATTGTTATATATTATATTATATTATAAAATTTATTTGACGTCTAAATAAATTTTGATATATTATGATATAATATATAAAATTTGGTCAAGTAATTTTATAAGAAAATTGAGTTAAATTTTTTAACAATATTAACATATAAACTCAATAGAAAGCTAGGAAAATTGTCTACTCTTGTGTAAATGACTTCTTTTTGGATAACTCTGTAAAAGGTGTGAAGAGGGGTCTGCTACTTACTTGATAGTAAGTACTTGATAAGACATCGACTTCCACATCTTTGCTGTTTTTAACCAGTGCCCTTTCAAGACATGAGAATATTTTACTCTAAGAAAGTATTTTCATAGATATCATATTAGGAATTTCGTCCATTTTAGTTAATAAATTATTATGACATTTAGTGATTATTAATAATTTATGTCACTGTTAAAGTATACTCCTACAGACAACATATTACATATGTGTTTTGATTTGTCCTTTAATCTCAGGTAAATTTTTTAAATTTTTATTTATTAAATTCTATATATTTTAGATAAAAGAGACCTTGTAACTGCCATATGATGTACTTTCTTAGAAAGAGAAATTCTCAGGCAAAACTCAGGCCTGGTTGGGCACGGTGGCTCATGCCTGTAATCCCAGCACTTTGCGAGGCCAAGGCGGGTGGATCACCTTAGGTCAGGAGTTCAAGGCTAGCCTAGCCAACATAAGGAAACCCCATCTGTACTAAAAATACAAAAAAAAAAAAAATTAACTGAATGTGGTGGCTCATGCCTGTAATCCCAGCTAGTTGGGAGGCAGGAGGATTGCTTGAACCTGGGAGGCAGAGGTTTTGGTGAGCCGAGATCATACCACTGCACTCCAGCTGGGTGACAGAGCAAAACTCCGTCTCAAAAAAAGAAAAAACTCAGGCTTATTTTTATCAAAATCTAGATTTTAAATAACATTTCTAGGTGTCTCCTTTCAATAAAAATCCAAACCAAAACAAACAAAAAATTTCTAGGTAATTCCCATGAATATTAATATCTGTTAAATTGGGTACTTTTATTTTTAAGAGAGGGATTGTTTATATGGATGTGTTGATGTGTCAAACACGTACAGTTAAAATTGTACCTTTTTTTGACAGAGCCTCACTCTGTCCCTCTGGATGGAGTGCAGTGGTGCAATCACAGCTCACTGCAGCCTTGACCTCCCAGACTCCAGTGATCCTCCCAAGTCAGCCTCCCAAATTGCTGTGACTACAAGTGTGCACCACTATGCCAAACTAACTTTTAAAAAATTGTTGGAGAGATGAGGTCTCACTATCTTGCCCCAGTGAGGTCTTGTTGTGTTGCCTAGGCTGGTCTCAAACTCCTGAGCTCTGGCTTCCAAAGTGATGAGGTTACAAATGTGAGCCACTGTGCCCAGCCAAGATTAGACCTTTCAATGAGTGCACATCTTACTTCAAAAAAAAAAAAAAAAAGGAACTTATTAAAAGATAAAGTCTGAGTTAAAAATGGGTTCACATTAATGATTTTTAATTTGGTACTTCTAGTGTTAAAAGAGGGATTGTTTATATGGGTGTGTTTATGTGTAAAAAGCTAGTTAAGGTCAAACCTTTATTTTTTTTTTTTTTGAGACAGAGTCTCACTCTGTCACCCAGGCTGATGTGAGGTGGCACAATCACAACTCACTGTAGCCTCAAACTCCTAGAATCAAGGGATCCTGCTATGTCAACATCCCAAGTAGCTGGAACTACAGGAGTGCACCACCGTGCCTGATTAATTTAAAAAAAATTAATAAAGATGTGGTCTCACTATGCTGCTCAGGCTGCTCTCAAACTCCTGACCTCAAATGATCCTCCTGCCTTGTCATTACAAAGTGATGGGATTACACAGGCTTAAGCCATTGTGCTCAGCCAAGATTTTACCTTCAGTGAGCACACATTTTATATCAGAAAAAATAATAATAAATAATAAAGTCTGTGTGAGAAATGAGTTGAAGTAGAGATAACACAAAATTGGCATGTTATTAGTTGTTGTTGAGCCTGGGTAACAGGCCTATTGTACTGTTTCTTTTATTTTGTGTATGTTTTAAATTTTCTGTAATAAAACATGTACAATAATACAAAGTTGATATACAATGTTAGCTCTTAAGATCTTAGTGACTTTGGGGGAGCAAAAAGAGAGAAAGTGGTTGCCAGGGCATCAGTGAAGCTGGTTCTATTTCTAGGTTACACACGTGTGTTCACTTTGAAATAATTCATTGAACTTTACATGATTTCTTTGTACACATCTTTCTGCATGAATGTTATACATATATAAAAATTTAAATATTACCTATTTGCACACAATTTTAACATCATATCTCAGAAGAATAGCACTGTTTTGTATTGTTTTAAAGTGGGACATGTTTGCTCAGGGCATCATCAGATGGATATTAATATTCCAAGGTATTTACTTATGTCCTAACACTTCGGTGACCTTCTAGGTCTTCCCATGATTACATCAATTTAGTAAGTAAGATAGTTTTAATTTTTTAGGGTATAGGCCAAGCATGGTGGCTCATGCCTACACTCTCAGCTCTTTGGGAGGCCAAGGCAGGAGGATCATTCGAGTCCAGTGTTTTGGTTTTTTTTGGATGCAATTATTATTCAGCAAAGTCCTCTCCCCACAGTGAGGTTCAGCAATGCAAGGGCACCTAGTGCGTAATATGCATTTGGTATGAGTAGAACTGGATTGAATCAGGAATAAAATGTGTAGCAGAGGTCAGTTCAGCAAGGAAAATTAGGTAATGCAGGTAAGGTCAGAAGACCACAACCCAGGAGCAAATCTTTCCATTTATTTCAGGAACCCATTTGCCACTAGTTCACCGGAAAAGGCTGATTTAAACCGTTCATTTCAGGAAACCATCTGCCACTAGTTCACTGGAAGGGGCTGACTTAAAGCAGCAGTTTGGGGGCTTGGTTGTTCCCCATAGTCATCCAGAGAGCTTTAAACAGCTCTGTGGCTCAGGTCCCACTGCAGGGATTCTGAATTCATTTATCTATTGCCTTTTGAGTTTAGGTAATTTTAAAAGCCTCCCTGGTGATTCTCATGTGCACCCAGGGGGAAAAATCCCTGGTTCAGGGTGAGAAATGCATTTGCTGCTCATGCATTCTATGTGTGCAGCTGTGATTTGCCCCATGGCCACTCCTGAGTTTGGGGTCTTAGAAAATACACTTGTCCTGTTAAAAATCAAAAAACAACTTCAAGACACACTCAGCTGTTTGGCTAAAATGCAACAGGAGAAAATATCTTCTCAACAGATGTACCTGGATTGCACTTGCTTTCAGAGTAAAAGGTGGTTTCAAGCACAATATAGCACTTTTTTCCTACAGGCTTTCAAGGCCTTTTACTATCATACCCTTATGAATCACAGGAATAAAAAAAAATCATAGTTATATAACTGTCAAATATTGTATTAGGAAAAAAATTAAGGGCATGTCTTCCGTGCTTAGTTACCCTGATTAAAATCAGTTAAGACCCATCTGCCCGGTGTGGTGGCTCACACCTGTAATTCCAGCACTTTGAAAGGCAGAGGCTGGAGGATCACGAGCTCAGGAGTTCAAGAACAGCCTGCTCAACATAACAAAACCCCATCTCTGCCAAAAATACAAATATTATCTGATTGTGGTAGTATGCATGTGTGGTCCCAGCTACTTGGGAGGCTGAGGTGGGAGAATCGCTGGAGCACAGAATGTCAAAGCTGCAGTAAGCCACTGCACCCCAGCCAGAATGACAGGGAAAGAGACCCTGTCTCAGAAGTAAAAATAAATAAAGAGACCCATTCTTTCAGACACCCTCCTTCTTCTACATAAAACACAGGGCTTTTGACTGAAATGTTTTAAGATGAACTGAAGATTCTCCCACGATCAGGAGCAGTAGATAGGGGTTGCTCCCTTCCTGTTCTTTGAGTTGAAGCAAGGCAGAGGTCTGGAAACTCAAACTGGTAAATACTCAAACTGGTAAATATATCAATTGCTTTCTTTTCATATGATGTATTAAGCTATTCTTGCATTGCTATTTAAAAAATCTGAGACTGGGTAATTTATAAGAAAAGAGTTTGACTGGCTCATGGTTCTGCAGGCTGTACAGGAAGCATAGCACCAGCATCTGCTTCTGGGAAGGCCTGGGGAAGCTTACAATCATGGTGAAAGAGAAGCAGGTATCTCACATGGTAGAAGCAGAAACAAGAAAGATGAGGAAGGGATGGACCACACTTCTAAACAACCAGATCTCGCGAGTACTCACTATCACAAGGACGGCACAGAGCCATGAGGGACTCACCCGGTGATTCAACCACCTCCTCTCCAGGCCCCACCTGCCACATTGGGGATTAAAATTCAATATGAGATTTGGAGGGGACATCTAAACTACATCACATGACCATCAGAAAAACAGATGAAGAATTCATGGTTTCTATTGTCCAGGAACTTTTCATCTAGAGCAAACGGATTAACAGCTGAATTCAGCATCCTGTGGTCAGAAGGGAAATGGATTAATGGCTGAATTCAGCATCCTGTGGTTGAAAGGGAAATGGATTAATGGCTGAATTCAGCATCCTGTAGTAGGAAGGGAGAAGGGAGCTGCACAGAGGGCCTTGGCTGCATTTGCTCCACTTCCCTTATGCTGTTCCTTGGGTTCCAATGTCACCATCTGAAGGGCTATTAATGGACAGAAGAATTATTGTTATTGTTGTGATTATTTCTATTTCTTTCACTTTGGTAAAAATAAGTTTTTAGCTTCTCATATAATTGTCCTAAAAAACCCTAAGAGTTTTGCTTAAGTTTCTTGTTATCATGTGTTATAAAAATTGACAGGGAAGTGGCTAAAACAGATTAAAATTACACAAGCTCTAAGAGTTAAGTCTCTGTTGGGCAGGCTTAGGAAAGACAGAACTGGAAATACTCCACCAGCATGAACATCAGAAATATGGGGTCCACTTTCTGTTCCAGCCCTGCCCAGATCCACCCTCTTCAATGGCCTCATCCAGGTCTGACCTCACCCTAGAATCTTCTCTCACAGAACTGATTAAAGGAGGCCAGAGATTCGGGCGGGGGCTCCTGCTGCCTCTCCTGAGCTGGTGCCCACGATTTCCTAAAATGGAAAAGCAGATAAATGGAAGCAAATAATTCTATATTTGGGGGCTATAATTTCTTTTTCATTGAAGCCAGTGCTTCTAGAGACACCCCACCTAGCAACTTGTTTTCCATTCCTGCAAATTCAGTAGCTGCTTCACAAGGCACAAAAAGGTAAATATAAATATAAAACATCTCTCTGAACAGTTCACCCTTTTTTCTCTATCCTTCTCATCTGTCAATATAGCATTTATTCTGCACATTTTATTTTCCAGGTAAATAATTTTTAAAATGGAAGAAAAAATAGAAATACTAGGCCCTTCATTTAAATCCTGAAAATTACAGAAAACTTAGCACCCAACCCCCAGGGTGCTATGAGGATTAACTCACATCATGTAATGTTTCCTGAACATTGCTCTGTAACAGACTTCTGAACACATAGTATGTGCTCAGTAAACATTGTATTAACTCATGTGTACATGTTTTCCAAATGCAGACTTACTCAAACATTGATGCCTTCTCTAGGCTTTCTAAACTGTAAAGAGCCAGCAGAAAATGACATGTTTGAAAATGGTGACTTGTGGTTTCCACTTTGGGCCAAAAGTATTTGTGTTGTGGTAACAGTGTTGGGTGTCAGGAGCTCTGTGCTGTGCCTACTTTCTCTAGCTGAGTGCTACTATATTGGATGTAGTGGAAGAAACATCAGCATTAAGAGGAGACTTTTTAAAGAAGCCAATTCATGGACCCCTTCCAAACCTGCAGAATCACATCACTAAGAGAGAGCCTGGAATCAGAAATAATTCATAGGCACATTGAAACTTGAGAGTTGGGCACGGTGACTCACGCCTGTAATCCCATCACTTTGGGAGGCTGAAGTGGGCAGATCACCTGAGGTCAGGTGTTCAAGACCAGCCTGGGTAACATGGCCAAATCATGTCTCTACTAAAACATACAAAAATTAGCCAGGTGTGGTGGCTGGTGCCCATCATCCTAGCTACTCAGGTGGCTGAGACTGCAGAATCACTCGAACCTGGGAGGTGGAGGTTGCCATGGGCCAAGATGGTGCCACTGGCCCATGCTTCCAGCCATAATCACATGGCCAGCTTAAAGAAATACCATCACCTGTGCCCTCCCCAGAGACTCTGTCTATTGGTCTTGGTGGGAGCAACTATGTGGTTGTAATTAGAAAGTCAAATTGTCCCTCTTTGATGATTATATAATATCATATATACAAAAATTCTGAAGACCACCAAAAAAACTCTTAGATTTGATAAATAAATTTAATAATGTTTCAGAATGCAAAAATCAATGTACAAAAATTGGTAGCATTTTTATACACTAATGATGATCAAGCTGAGAACTGAATTAAAAAGTCACTTCCTTTTACAATAGCTACAAAAAAAGGTAAAATGCTTAGAAATACAATTAGTCAAAGAGATGAACGATCCCTACAAGGAAAACTACAAAACACTGATGAAAGAAATTGTACATGACACAAATGAGAAAAACATCCCATGCTCATGGATTGGAAGAATTATGATCAATAAAATGACTCTACTGCCCAAAGCAATCTACATATTAAATTCAATTCCTACCAAACTGCCAATGTTATTTTTTATAAAATTAGAAAAAAAACACTAAAATTCACATGGAACCACAAAAAGAGCCTGAATAGCCAAAGCAAATCTAAGCAAAGAGAATAAAGCTGGAGATATTACATTATCTGACTTAAAATTATGCTAGAAGGCTGTAGTAACCAAAACAGCATGGTACTGATATAAATTGACACATAGATCAATGGTACAGAATAGAGAACCTAGAAATAAAGCCACATACCTACAAACAACTGATCTTTTACAAAGTCAACAAAAACATACACTGGAGAAATGACATCCTATTCAATAAATTTTGCTGGAAAAATTATATTGCCGTATGCAGAAGTATGGAATGGGACCCCTATGTCTCACCATATACAAAAATCAACTCAATATGGGTTAAAAGACTAAAATGTAAGACCTGAAACTATAAAAATGCTAGAAGAAACTCTAGGATAAACTCTTCTAGACATTGACTTGGAAAAAGAATTTATGACTAAGATCTCAAAAGCAGATGTAACAATAACAAAAATAGACAAAAGGAACTCAAACTATAAAGCTCCTGAAAATGAGCTTTTTAATTAACACAGTAAACAGAAAACCTATGGAATGAGATAAACATTTACCAGTATTGCATGTAACAAAGATCTAATGTCCAGAATAATCAAGGAACTGAAACAGCTCAACAAAAATAAAACAAGTAACCTCATTAAAAAGCAAGCAAAGAACATGAACATTAAAAAAAAAAGACACTGATGGTCAATGGTCAACAAGCATGTAAAACATGCTCAACGTTGTCAATGATCAGAGAAATGCCAATTAAAAACCAAAATGAGGTACAAACTTACACCATGCAGAATGGCTATTACTAAAAAGCAGAAAAATGAGCTATCGGCAAGGATACAGAGAAAAGAGAACACTTATACATTGTTTGTGGGAAAGTAACTTTCTGCAATCTCTATGGAAAACAGTATGGAGATTTCAAAATAGACTAAAAATAGAACTTCCATTTGATTCAGCATTCCCACTACTTGGTATCTACCCAAAGGAAAATAATTTGTTACATAAAGAAAATACCCATGCTCACATGTTTATCACAGCACTATTCACAATAGCCAATATATGAAATCAATTTAAATTTATCAATCAATAATCGAATAAAGAAAATGTGCTATACAAGTATACCATGGAATGTTACTCAGCCATGAAGAAGAATAAAGTCATGTCTTTTGCAACAACATAAATAAAACCAGAGGCCATTATTGTAAGTGAAAAAACTCAGAAACAGAAAATCTAATCTGTATTTTCTCACTTGCAAGTGGGATCTCAATTATGCATACACTTGGATATAGAGACTGGAAAGATAGACACTGGAGACTCAGAAAGATGGGAGGTTGGAGAGGGTTTAGGAATGAGAAAATAACTAATTGGGACAATAAACAACATTCAGATGATTGTCACACCAAAAGCCCATACTTCATCCCTATGCAACATGCTTCTGTAAGGGAGCTGCATTTGTACTCTCTAACGTATTAATAAAGAGATTAAAAAAAAAAGACCTGGGGCGGTGGCTCAAGCCTATAATCCCAGCACTTTGGGAGGCTGAGGCAGGCGGATCACGTGGTCAGGAGTTCAAGACCAGCCTGGCCAATATAGTGAAACCCCATCTCTACTAAAAATACAAAAATTAGCCGGGCATGGTGGAGCACGCCTGTAGTCCCAGCTACTCAGGAGGCTAAGGCAGGAGAATCACCTGAACCCGGGAAGCGGAGGTTGTGGTGAGCAGAGATTTTGTCACTGCACTCCAGCCTGGGGAATAGAGGGAGACTTCGTCTCAAAAAAAAAAAAAAGAGAGAAAAAAAAACTTTGGCTTTTATCAAGAGGACAAACTATTCAGTTCAGACCTCATAATTTTCATAAATAATTAGATTAGGCAAAAAAAATTAACAAAAATAAATAAAAAATAATATTGTATTTTAAGAATGATATAGAAAGATAATTTGATGAATTAGAGTAGTTAGTACTTAGCACATAGAATATGTTAGGCAAGATTCTAAGCCACTTAGACCTTTATGTACAGAATATGTAACAGAGTAAAATAAATAACACAAAGATTCATTGGCAATGACAAATTGACATATTTTCAATCACATTAGATGATATTAAAACCATTAACAAATTTACTGTTTTGTTTCATAATAAAAAAGAATGTTAAATAACTTCATTAAAAAGTTTGACTAATTAGGCATATAGATAAATGGGCAGCATTTTGACCAGAACACAGAGGATACACATTTTCAAAGACCAGACAAAATTATTTATTTATTTTTTGTGGGGAGAGAACAGTTTTATTATCTGGGGATACACTGGAGTCCTCTCCCTGGGAGGTGGGTCTTCCACTGGTTATCCCCGCCAGGGCTCCAGGGGGCGCCATGCGATTCAGTGCTGGGCTCCGCTGGGGGCCGGGCCTTGGAGAAGACGAACTGTGCAGGGAAGCAGCAGCTGTGGGGTCCTCACCGCCCGCTCCGCCCGGCTGCACCCGGCCTCCTGGTGCTCCTCAGGCTCCCGCCGAGTCTGCTTCTCTGGACGGCAGCGAACCATCCTGCCCAGAACCTTATCCTCACAGCCCAGTTTGACGCAGGTCAGCCATTCCTGCTTCCTCCTCTCAGGCTGGACTTTGCACTTGGGTTTTTACAGTCTTTCCTCCGGCCACTTCTCTGTCTGCCGGAGCTTAAATTCCAGCCTCACAAATGTTCCAGCTGGGAAGGGCGTGTCCAGGGCGCTGTCCACACTGGTCTCCTGGAAGGCCCGCTGCACGGGCAGGTGCTTGCAGATTCCTCCAGGACCACCTGCAGGCCCCGGCGCTGGCCCTGTGAGCTCAGCCCCTCCCGCGTCCCCCGCGCCCACCCACTGGGCCAGCGAGATCTGCAGCCCTCTCAGGCTTCCCCTGTCACCCCAGCCCTGCGAAGCGGGTGTGCGCCCCTTAGTTCTCCGAGCCTGCCGGGAGCCACCTCCCCCCCTGCCCTGCCCCTGGCGGGGGGCATGCCCTCAGAACGCTGGGCAGAGGCGAAGGAAGCGGGAAATGTCCCTTTCTCCACACTGACCTTGGGATGTGCTGGGTCCTCTCCACTCCCTCCCACCCTGCCCGCGCTGTTCCCTGGGGCCCGCAGTTTCAGCAAAGTTCCCTGCCGCGCTGGGAAGCCGTCCTGTTGCTCACTCTCACCCTTCCTCCTTTTCTGGCCCATTATCTCTCCCCACTGGGTCTCCGACATGACCCTATCTCCTCCCGGCTGTCCCCGGAGCCCCTCTCTGCTTCCCCAGCTCAGCCCCCTCTCTGACGGCTTCTCCCTCCCACCCCCACGTGAATCTCCGGGCTCTCACGGGGTGCCCCTGATCCCCGGGGCCTAGGTCAACCAGACAAAATTATTTTAAATGGGAATTCCATTGAATTCATGAAAGTAGGAATCCATCTGGTCATATTTTAAATAATTTTGAAATGATAATAGCAACTATCAATTTAACCAGAATTCAGAATACCCACCATTTTACCAGAAAAAAAAAAAAAAACCTGTTATAACTAACCAACTAAGTCAGTAAATTTTCAGGATACAATATTAACATATGAACATCAGTGGCATTTTTTTACAGTAACAACAAAATATCTGAAACAGGAATAAAGATAGTTCCATTTACAATATTATCAAATAGAATGAAATGCTTAGGAATGAGTTAACAAAGTGTGAAAGATCTGCATACTGAAAACTATAAAATGTTGAGGAAAGAAAATGAAAAATACAAAATGGGAAATATATTTTGTGTTCATGGATTCTAAAAATTAATATTAAAATATCCATACTACACAAAGTGGTCTACAGAGTTAAATTTCTATCAAAATTTTAATGCCATTTTATTAAAAATGTAGAACAACAATTTTAAAATTAGTATGGAACCACAAAAGACCTCAAATAGCCAAATACTGAGAAGAACAAAAAGGCTGAAAGCCTTACGCTTCCTGATTTCAAACTATATTACAAAGCTGTAGTCATCAATATAGTATTGTACCTACATAAAAACCAATAGAACAGAATAGAGGATCCAGAAATAAACTCGCAAATATACAGTCGACCAGTCCCACAGAATGGAGAAAGGATAAACACATCAAGGAGTGGTGTAAGAAAAACTAGATATGCACAGAAAAAAGTGAACCTTTCTCTCACGTCATCACAAAATGAATTTGAAATGAAATAAAGACTTAAACATAAGAACTGAAATCATGAATCCTCTAAAAAAAAATGGGGAAAAACCTTGACACTGGTCATGGCAATGATGTTTTGGATATGACACCAAGAACACAGTCAACAAAAGCAAAAATGAACAAGTGGAACTATGTCAAAGTTAAAATTTTCTGCACAATAAAGGAAACAACAAAATGTAAAGGCATTATAGGAAATGGGAGGAAATATTTGTAAACCATATGTAGGATAATATGTTACTATCCAAAATATATGTCATACTAATCAATACAAAAAACCCACAGCAGAATTAAAAGCAATTTCTTGATTAATAATTGGGCAAAATATATAAATAACAGTTTTTCCAAAGATATACAAATGGCCAGCAGGTGTATAAAAAATGCTTGACATCACTAATTATCAGAGTAATTAAAATCAAAATCACAATGAGGTATCACCTTATCGTGGTGTTTGGATGCCTATTATCAAAAAGTCAAAAGATAAAAAGTGTTAGGGTGTGGAAAAAGAGAACACTTGTGCACTGTTGCTGAGGATGTCAATTGGTGCAGCTATTATGAAAAACGGTATGGAGGTTCCTTAAAATTTTTAAACTAGAACTACCACTAATCCCAATTAGGAGTATATAGCCAAAGGACATAAAATCAGGATCATCAAGGGTATCTGCACTCCTCTGATACAGATAAATAAACTGAGAGATACATAATTTCAGCTTTAATAAAAATGAAACTCATCCACAACAATATTGATAAATCTTGAAGACATTATGCTCAGTGAAATAAGCCGAATACAGAAAGACAACTACTGCATGATCTCGTTTGTATGTAAAATCTAAAAAAGTAAATAAAAATTTAAAAAGCCATGGAAACAGTAGAACGGTGGTTCCCATGGGCTAAGAAGTGGGGAAAGTAGGGAGATATCCATGGAAGGGGCGCACCTTCAGTTACAAGGTGAGTAACTGCTGGGGACCTAATGTACAGAATAGTGACTATAGTTAACAATACTCTGTACTTGAAATTTGCTACAAGAGTAGATCTCAGGTGCTCTCACCACACACACAGAAACGTATTAACTATCTGAGGGGATAGATAGGCTAACTAGCTTAACTGAGGTAATTTAAAGACTACTGATATCTCAAAACACTCTATTGTACACCCTAAAAATATACACTTTTCAATTTGTCAACCATAGCTCAACGAATGGAGAAAAAAATAAGAGTAACCAGCAGGTCATATCTAGCCACAGGGAAACTCAATTTAAAACGCGCTTGGCCACTGTTTCCAGCTCAACTCGGGAACTGCCGGAGCGCTTCTGGCCCCTGGACTTCAACGCTCCTCCTGCGGCCCCCGTGGCTGGGGAAGGTACAGTCGTTCCCAGGATTCCAGGGGGCGCAGATCCGGCAGGGCCATCGCCGTCCCCTTGCTCTTGCCGCAGCCCCGTTAGGCTCCGCGTTTCGGGGCCTCCTGGCCGGGGAGGCTGCCTGTGGCTGCCCGCGCGCCCCCGTGGCTGTGGTTCAGCCGGCCCCCGCTTCGGCCCCGCGCAGCCCCTCCGGGGCCGCAGCCGTCTGGGGCCCGAACTCACAGCCTCGGGCCGGTACCCGCAGCCAGCGCCTTCGCTGTGGCCGCTCCTCCCCCTCGCCGAGCCCGAGCTGGCCCAGCGGAGAAGGAGGACGGAGAAGCTGGAACCCGAACGCTGAGCTGCGGGCGGCAGGTGCGGGAACGGGAGAAGCTATGGCCTCGCACAGGACGGCTGCTCAGAGCGACACGAGCAACCGCCAGGAGCTCCGCACGCAGCTGGAAGAACTCAGTAATGTACTCCGCTGTGGGATAAATGGAGATAATAAAAGTCTGATGTAGAAGTACTCGCAGAGAACCATGCTCCTTGGTCAATCTCAGATTATTATCAGACCTACTCTAATGATGTTAGTCTTCCAAATAAAGTGAGTGACTGAACTGTCAAATCAGCAAGATCAGGATATTGAAACTCTTGCTTTGAATTCTAACGACCAGTTATAAATAGAAAATGATGCTTACCCTGGTACTGATAGGACACCAAATGTTAAATGTAGACAAGAGAGTCATTTGCCTCAAATTCACAGGAGCCAGCATCTGCATTAGCAGCACAAGATACGTCCTTAGAAGGTTCATCATTAGCTGGAAGTTTGAGAGCTGCAGCAGAAGCGGCTTTATCACAGACTGGATTTAGTTATGATGAAAATACTGGACTGTATTTTGACCACAGCACTGGTTTCTATTAAGATTCTGAGAATCAAATATATTATGATTTAATTTATTACTACTGTGATGTGGAAAGTGGTAGCTATCGGTTTCATTCTCAAGTAGTTTTGCCACATTATCAGACTTATAGCACAAAACAAAAATAAAAAAATTGAGAAAAGAAAGGATCCAGATTCATCTACAAAAAAAAAAAAAAAGAGGAAAAGGATTTGAATTCAGAGGATCAAGAAGCCTTCAGTGTTGAACATACAAGCTGCAATGGGAAAGACAATTTCACAAATCTGAAAAAAAAAAGCCAAAATAATCATTCATCACAAAAATAATCCCCCAAAATTCACTGTTCCAGTTAGTGGAAATACTATGGAATCTCCTCCTAATGAAAACATCTCAATTCATCTTTAAGGATGAGAAAATGACAGAGACTGATAGTGAAACAGAAGAAGGCGAAATTACAGACTCTCAGACCGAGGGTAGTTATGATGAAGGTATTACCAGTAAAGGCAATGCAACTGCAAAAGATACTGAGGAGGAAGATGAGGAAAAAGTGTGGCCCTCATATATGAGAGTAATTGTCATTACATCACCTGTGTTACAGACAGGATCATTCTGCATCATTACTGCTGTAAAATCTGCTACAATTGGAAGAGAAAATGACATGGAGCATACTCTTCTAATCCCTGAAGTTGGTGTAAGTTTCATGAAGAAATTTATTTTGACCATGACTTACAAAGTTATGTCCTTTTGGATCAGGCAGTCAAAATGGAACAATTGTTAATGTAAAATGGATGGTTCAGCTGAAAACTAAATGTGACCCTTATGAACCTGAGCATGGAGATAAAGTGAAAATTGGAGACACTGTGTTATCTTATTACATTCACCCTGGCAGTAATAGCTGTGTTGGATGTGAACCAGGGCAGGTTAGAGCTCACCTTTTCCTTGATAAAAAAGATGAATCATTTGTTGGTCCATCATTAACTAAGAAGGAAACTAGTTGGAAAGAAGAAAAGGATTTTAAAAATATATGAGTAAAATATGGTTTACAGAATACAGACTACATAGATGATAAGATACTGGAGAATCAAAAATGTAAAGATAGAGCTGGAAAACATAGGGAGCAGATTGGAAGTGAAGGAAATTTCCAAAGAGATGATGCTCCTGCATCTGTTCATTCTGAAATTACTGATGGCGACAAAGGTCAGAAGATGTTGAAAAAGATGTGTTGAAAACAGGAGAAGGCCTGGGGAAGGATGGTGGAAGAATGAAAACTCCAATACAGCTTCAGCTTCGGCAAATACATGCAGGATCGCAGACAGACAAACCATCCTCAATTAAAGAGACTCACCTTCTCCAAAACAAGAACAACAACAACAAGAACAACAACTGGGACAAAGCACAGGAGAGGTTTGCTGAAAACTTTCCAGAAACTAAACTTCAAAAAGATGACCTAGGAACCATTCCTTGGGTAAAAGGGACTGAGGAGTGAAGGTTAATCACAAAAGAAAACTCAAGCTTTTTTATAAATAGAGTTTGGAAACTCTTATTGCAGAATGTCTCTCCCCCAAAAAGTCAGTGGCACAAGAAAGCTGTGTCATGGTTTACCCCTTCCTGATTCAGAAATGTGTAATAAAATGTGGTTTGCAGCTTTTAAAAAACACTTTTTAAACTAATTATTAGTGACTGAATTAATTTATACAGTAAGTGAACTAAAGTTCACAGGGCACAGATAAGTTTATCAAACTTTACTATTTTATCTTGTCATTTACAACATCCATATAAGCAATTAGCCATATAAGCAAAATTCTTATAACCACTTAAATGCTCATTTGTCCTTGTCTCCATATATTCATAGTAGTATGCACAGAAAATACAGCAAAAGAAACATCTAAATTCTACAAAAATAAATCTGACAATATACATTCTTGTTTATGCCCTTCAGGACCTAGATAAAAAATATTGAGACAACATGAATAGTGATGCGTATATTTTCTTATATTTGGAATAGTCTAAATCATATTAAAGAACTAATGAACAGGTGACATGTCACAGAAAATTTGTCTTTTATTGTTTTCTTCGGTGAAGAATCTGAATTTGTTGATATATACTATACATTCAGCATTTGTATTTGGTTTGTTTCATAGCTAATGAAATGTTTGTACATGAACAAATGAGTACAGTATTGAAATAGTTCATGTGCTGGCATTCATACTTTTTATAAATACCATTGCAGGCAATGAAGTTGTGCCAGAAAAATCTGATTTCGAGTGCAAAAGGAATATTTAGCCAGGGCCTCAAGCTCAGTATATTTATTGAAAATGTCCTAAATTGCCATAAAACTTTATAATGTTAAATTATTCATTTCAATAAATTATGAATTAAACAAAAAATACAAATGATGTATTTTATGGATCAGAGAAGTGCTAATGAGACAGAATGGCCATTGAAGCCGAAAGGTCTGAATTCAGGTAGATAATTTTACTCATATTAGTTTTATGTTAGAGAAAACAATGCTTCTGACCATATACTATTTATTGCAGTGGAGTATTTCAAAAATATGTACATAATATATAATTAATTTTCTAATGGTATAAAAGTAATCACATTCTACAAATTATTACAATATGGTCTATTGATGAGAGGGGTGTTTCAAATGAAAAACTTGGAATTTCTCATGATGATAGATGCCATAGAAAATCTATGTAAAATATTTCACTCATGTATGCAACTATGGATATTTCTGCTTTTCAGAAAAATAATATACTTTAAAAACCTAATGCAGACAATTAAAATCACCAAGAAGTTACAAGAATTCACAGAATGTGTAATATAGTTGAAAGGAAATTAAGAAAACTTCCCAGGACTGGAAGTAAATAAAGGTAATGATCCCGAGAAGTAATCAACCTAAGAAGCCAGGGCTCCACTCAGATGCGTCTGATTACAAGAATGTCAGGTCCATGTGGGTTGTTCCCTTCTGACAAGGCAAATGGAATAAACAAAGAGAAACTGCCTGCAGGCATTGGAATGTGGTGTCTCCCATATGTGAGGATTAAATTATAAATTATGTTGCACACAAGGAGATGAGCTACTGGGGTGAAGCATCAGAAGAAATTATATGGCACATAAATCTCAGATATTGAATTTATATTTAAATGTTTAAGTCAATATAATGGAGAAACAAGAAACCAAAATAATGTGGAAAGAAACTACGAGCTTGTCAAGCTATCTTTGGAAAAGAGGCAAATGAAAAGTAAAGTATTGAAAGTGTTGTAAAACAATTTAATGTACAACATACAAATGACATATTAAAATAGGCTGAGCCAAAAACAGGGCTAGTAAAGTGAAATGCTGATCACAATTAATGTAGTCGTATATATTATAGAAGGCAAATTAATAGAAAATATAAATGTATTTATATATGAAGATTAGATTGAGAAGAAATAAAAAGCATTTAATTGTTTTACCAGACTCTCTAAATAGGAAGGCAACAGTCAAAGAATCAGTGACTCATAAGTTTCAGAAATTGGAAACCAGACACTAATCCTTTAAAAGTTTAGGGTGTAATATATGAAAAAAAGGTAAATTAAGAAATACTTAGAAGAAATAATGGTTTGGGTTATTGTGAATACTGCTTAATAAACATGAGAATGCAGTTATCTTTTTTGACATGCTTATTTTGTTTCCTTTTGATATAAACCCAGCAATGAGATTGCTGGATCATATGGTAGTTCTATTTATAATTTATTGAAAAACCTCCATACTGTTCTCCCTAGAGAAATGGGAATGATTGTACTAATTTACATTCCTACCAACAGTGTATAAGTGCCCATCTACAGAATAAATAAAGAAAATGTTATACACACACACGCACACACACACACACGCACACACACACAGGAATAATGTTCAGTTGTAAAACAGAATGAAGTTTTGTCATTTGTGTCAACATGGATGAGCCTAGAGGACATTATGTTAAGTGGAATAAGCCAGGCACAGAAAGAAAAAGACCATGTGCTCTCACTCACGTGAAATCTGAAGAAGTCCATCTCATAGAAGTAGACAGTAGGATGGTGGTTACCAGAGGTTAGAGATGGCAGAAGGATGAGGGAGTGGGGAGAGCTTTGTCACCGGGTTACAAAGTTACAGTTAGGAAGAATAAATCCTGGTGTTCTATTACACAGCACGATGACTATAGCCAATAATAATGTACGTTTATTCTATAATAGCTTGAAGCGAGGATTTTGAACTTTATTAGCAGAAGGAAATAAATGTTTAAAGTGTTAAATATGCTAATTACTCTGGTTGGATCACTGTACAGTGTATATGGGTACAATGTGATGCAGTGAAACATCATATAATTAATATAATTTTACATGTTTGTGGAGTACAGTGTGATGCATCACACTGTACCATGTAGTATGATGCAGTGAAACATCATGTAATTAACACATGATAGTTATATGTGTTTACGGAGTACAATGTTATGTTTCACTGCATCTCACTCTACCGTATAGTATAATGCAGAGGAACATCATAATTAACATATGATAATTATACATGTTTACAGAGTACACTGTGATGTTTCACTGCATCACACTGTACCATGTAGTATGATGCAGTGAAACATCACACTGTACCCCATAAATATTACTGGTTCAGCAGGGAACTGTGGGACATAGAGCAGCTCTGGGTTAGCCATGACCAGCAGCTTCACCTGTATGGGGTAGCGAGAGGGGAAGGGCCCTGTGCTCGGCTGAGAGTTGACCCCTGACCACATCCACTTTGACTGCTAGGTGCCAGCAGAGCTCAGGGACGCCTAACTTCAGGCAGAGGCAGGAAGCAAGGTCATTACCTGGTTTTTTTTGTTTTTTTTTTTGTTGTTTTTTTTGAGAGAGTCTCACTCTATCGCCCAGGCTGGAGTGCAGTGGTGCGATCTCGGCTCACTGCAACGTACATAGAGGTGTACATCAGAATCACACCTGCAGGAAGGTCCCTGGATGAGATTAACAATCCCACATAGAGGTGTACATGAGAATCTCGCCTGCAGGAAGGTCCCTGGGTGAGATTAACAATCCCACATAAATGCCGGTTCTGGGTATGAGAGTCAAGGCCTCCTGTATGTTGCATGTATGTACATAAGTCACAATCTCAATGGTGGAATGGATTTTTCCATGAGAGCCTTAATGCCTTTTGAAAATTGAGTTATCTTAGTGGAGTCACAGCCTCACAAGTGTTTTGGATCTTGGTCAGGGAGTCACAAACCCACTTGTGGACAACATCCACTTATGAGAGCCAAATTTCCAACTTTTGACTGTCTCTGGGTGTGAGATTCAGAACCTCAATTATGGGCTGTGTCCATGTGGGAGAATGATAATTTTTACTGATGGCTGGGCTCAGGCAGGAGCCTTTCATCCTGCAGGCTTTGAGATAAATGATACATCACAGTACCCAAAATATGCTGGGTGCAGGCAAAAGAGGAGAGTCATATTAGCTGGTTGCTAGGTCCAGTCATATGTCACCACCTCTGTTTTTGGCAGGGCTAAGGCAGAAGAGGAGAGTCAGAGCTAAAGAAATGTCACAATGTTCCTGTGGGTAGGGCCTATGCATAAGAATTGCACCACCTAGTCATTGAACCCAGCCATATATTACAATACACAATGTATACAGGGCCCAGGCAAGAAAGGAGAGTATATCACATAGGTACTGGGTCCAGCAATGTGTCACAATACCACCTGAGGGGAGGCTCCAGGCAACAGGGTAACATTACCTAAGTGAAGTGCCCAGAGAGATGTTTCAATGCCCCTGGTGGGTAGGATTTTGAAAAAGGAGAAGTTACATAACCTAGGGGCCAGGCCTAGCTGTGTGTCACACTCATCTCCAAGATGGAGCCCAGACATGAGAGAAAAGTCACATCATGTAGGTACTGTGCAAAGTAATATGTCACAATCCTTATGTGAGCAGGCCCTAGGAAGAAGTAGAGAGTCACATAGTCTAGATGATGGGCCCAGAGGTATTTGACAATGACTGCTGTAGGTAGGGACCAGGCAGAATAATCACTTCACCTGTGTGCCGTGCCCAGTTATAAGTCACACTTCCCTCTGTGGGCATGACCGAGGCAGGGAGAAGAGTCACATCATCCTGGTGCTTTGCCCAAAGATATGTCACAATCTCTCCTGTGGGCAATGCTCAGGTGAGAGAGGAGAGTCACATCAAATAGGTAGTGGACACAGAAGTATGTCACAAGGCCTTCTGTGAACTTGATCCAGGCAGAAGATTCACATCAACTTGGTGCTAAGCCCAGCAACATGTCACAATCCCTTCTGTGTGAAGGGACCAGAAAGGAAAAGAGAATCACATTACCTGGCCAGTGAGCACAGAGATCTGTCACAGTGCCCCTTGTAGGCAGGGCCCAGGCAGAGGAGTTACATCAACTGGGTAGCGGACCCAGCAATATACCACAGTGTCCCATATGGGCACAAGCTGGAGAGTCACATAACCTGGGTGCCAGGCCAAGCTATATAGAACAACGCTTCCTGTGGGCAGCGCCAAGACAGAAGAGAAGACTCACATCGCCTGGGTGCAAGGTCTAGCGATATGTCAAAATGCTCACTGTGGGCAGTGCCAAGGAAGGAGAATAGAGTTACACCCTCAAGGTGCTGGATCCAGCAATATGTTAATATTCCATCTGTGGGCTGGGTCCATGCAAGAGCGTCAAGTCACTCAGGTGCTAGGCACTGGGAAATTTCATCATGAAACCTGCAGAATGGTCCGGGAATGAGATTAACAATCCCACAACTGTCACAGTTGTAGGCATGACATTCAACACCTCTTGTATGTTGGGTCTAAGCCCACGAGTAACCATCTCAACAACAGACTGGATTTGTACATGACAGCCTCAATTCCTCTGCAGACTGAAGTCACAGCCTCACAGTTATGTTGAATCTTGGTCTGAGAGTCACCAACCCATGAGTATCCATATATAAGTCAATTTTTCCCACCTTTGACTGACTACAGGTGTGAGATTCAGAACCTCAACAGTGACCTGTGTTCCTGTGAGAGGATGAGAATATTTACTGTTGGCTGGGTGTGCATATGAGTGCCACAATCTCACCTGTGTGCTCGGCCCAGTTAGCAATCTCTGTGTACTACCCAATGGCGCTATACAGTATGAATGAGAGTTGCAATCAACTTTGAGACCTTCCTGCTGGTAGGGACCCGTAATCGTACCTGTGGCATTAAGCCCGGGTATGAGAGTCAACGTCATTACAATTAACTAGGTCAGGATAGGAGACTCCTCCCTTATCTATAAGCTGGGCTTAGAAATGACCCACCATTTCAACTCTGGTTGAATATTTATACGTGAACACGGGCCTAGCACCAAGGTGATGTGAGTCTTTGGCCTAGCAGGAGGCAACGTGACATATCTCTCTGCCTAACAACTATTTGATGTGAACTGCTTTTTCACCTGAGCTTTTCCCGTAAAAGAGACGTGACATATGTCTAGACCCAGCACCTAGGTGATGTGGCTCTCCTTTTTTGACTAAGCCCTGTGTATTTTGGGTATTCTGACATATCCCTGGACCTAACATCTGGAAGATAAGAAGATCCAGTATGGGCCCTGTCTAAAAAGTTTCATGTGACATATTTCTATGTTAATCACCTTGGAGATGTGACTCTCCTCTCTTACCTGGGCTTTGCCCATAAGAGAGATTGTTACGTACCTCTGCAGGAAACACCTAAATGCTGTGACTCTTCTTTCTTGCCTGGGTCATGCCCACAGATGAAAGGGTGGCTTATTGCTGTGTCCAGCACACCGGTTATGTGATTATTCTGCCTGATCTCTGCTCACAGGAGCCATTGTGACATATCCCTGGGCCCAGAAACTATTTAATATGACTCTCCTCTATTACTTTAACTTTGTGCATAGGATAAATTGTGATGTATCTCTGGGTCCAGCACCTAGGTGATGTGACTGCTTTTCTGCATGGACTATGCCCACAGGAAGGAGGCTGATTTATTGCTGTGTTGAGAGCTGATGTGATACCTCGGTCCTTGTCTTCTTAGTTTATAACAATTTAAACAAAAGACACACAGAAAAGAAGTACAGCATAATTTATTGGAAAAGAAAACAAAATTTTTGAAAGTTAAGTGCATAATACAGTACACCGTGAGAGAGATATTCTAGGGCGGGCTGCTCATAAGAGTGAGACAGCGTGGATTGTCGCTGGCGAAACCCCCTTATGGGAGTTTTACATTATTATTAATAAGGAGGGGGGAAGAGGAGCTGCTAGTAAGCCTGTTCTGAGTGGTCTTCTGGGTGCACATGTGCAGTAGCTGTACATGCTTATTCATATTTTGCATGTCTCATTAGCATCTTAGACCTCTAGCCAGGAGTGTATTTTTGTTTGTTTGCTTGAGACAGAGTCTTGCTCTGTTGCCCAGGCTGGAGTGTGGTGGTGCAATCTCTGCTCACTGCAACCTCTGCCTCCCGAGTTCAAGCCATTCTCGTGCCTCAGACTCCTGAGTAGCTGGGATTACAGGCATGCACCACCATACCTGGCTAATTTTTGTATTTTTAGTTGAGATGGGGTTTCACTATGTTGGCCAGTCTAGTCTTGAGCTTCTGGTTTCAAGCAATCCATTCTTCTCAGCCTCCCAAAGTGCTGGGAGTACAAGTGTGAGCCACTGTGCCCATCTGGGGGGTGTATTTTTTGCTATTAAAATAAGCAAAAGTTAAGTTTGAGGACAGGTAAAATCAAAATGCACATGCTCTCTAGAACAGAAAGTCCTTAATGAAGATAGCTTTGCTTGAATGAGCCCAATTACAATGCGAATGCTAAGGCTCATTGTGTTGGCTGTACAGTCACCACAGTTTCATTGAAGGGGTGGCCTACCCCTCCACACCTGTGGGTGTTTCTCATCAGGTGGAATGAGAGACTGAGAAAAGAAAGAGACACAGAGACAAAGTATAGAGAAAGAAAAGACCAGCGCCCAGCATACAGAGGACCCATGCCGGCACTGGTCTCTGAGTTCCCTCAGTATTTATTGATCACTATTTCTACCATCTTGGAGAGGGGGATGTGGCAGGACACTAGGGTAATAGTGGGGAGAGGGTCAGCAGGAAAACATGTGAACAAATGTCTCTGTGTCATAAACAAGGTTAGAAAAGGTGCTGTGCCTTGATGTGCATGTATACAAACATCTCCGTGCATTAAAAAGAGTATTGCCACCAGCATGTCTCAACTCCAGCCCTAAGGCGGTTTCCTCCTGTCTCAGTAAATAGAACATACAATCGGGTTTTACGCTGAGACATTCCATTGCCTAAGGATGAGCAGGAGACAGATGCCTTCCTCTTATCTCAACTGCAAATAGGCCTTCCTCTTTTGCTAATCCTCCTCAGCACAGACAGTTTATGGGTGTCCGGCTGGGGGATGGTCAAGTCTTTACCTTCCCAGGAGGCCATATTTCAGACTATCACATGGGGAGAAACCTTGGATAATACCTGGCTTTCCTAGACAGAGGTCCCTGTGGCCTTCCACAGTGTATTGTGTCCCTGGGTACTTGAGATTAAAGAGTGGTGATGAAATTTAACAAGCATACTGCCTTCAAGCACTTTTTTAACAAAGCACGTTCTGCATAGCCCTAAATCCATTAAACCTTGAGTCAACACAGCACAAGTCTCTGTGAGCACAGGGTTGGGGCTAGGGTTACAGATTAACAGCATCTCAAGGCAGAAGAATTTTTCTTAGTACAGAGCAAAATGGAGTCTCTTATGTCTACTTCTTTCTACAGAGACACAGTAACAGTCTGATCTCTCTTTCTTTTCCCCACATTTCTGTAACCCGAGATCATGGTCATTTTCTTGACTATCTATTCTGATCTATTCTGCCTCAGTTTCCCCCTAAGAGATCTTAGAGTCATAATCATATTGGACATTGAGGGGCTAGGTCACTTTTTCTGGAGCTGTTTCCTGATGAGTGGGTGATATTTCTGCCTAGTCTGGGCCCTAAAGTTTCTTCC
Source organism: Homo sapiens (assembly GCF_000001405.40). Lineage (NCBI taxonomy): Eukaryota > Metazoa > Chordata > Mammalia > Primates > Hominidae > Homo > Homo sapiens. The sequence continues at coordinate 29,441,445 of NC_000020.11, forward strand.
TGTGTGATCTAACCGGGTGTAAACCATGTAATTGTGGAACCAGTGGGCAAGTTGTTGACAGCCAAATGTTGAAAGCCTTGCAAAACAATCATGCAAACATGGAGTTGCTATAAGCAAGAGAGCAAGGAATCAGTTAACATTTTAAACAAAATTGGAACAAAAGTAAAAGCTAAAAGTATAGTAATGACTGTTACTATTAAAGAAAGTAAGGCAGGTAATAGACATTGCTTTCATGTTCCCATGGAAGTTCCTAGAGATTCAATTTTGTCTGCCTGGGTGATGATATTATTAATATTTTCTTGGACTAAACCGGGCTGATTGATCTCAAAAACAGAATTGTTCTTTTAGATATAAACATTTTCCTCTTTGCCCGGCTGGGAGAAGATCCCAGGCTCTTTGCTTTTGTCGATCTACAGTGGCCATGGAGTCCAGACGTTGTTGAAGTCTATTGAGGCCCTCTGCTGCTTGTTGCGGACCCATTGAGGTTTTCTGAGATAGTTTATACTGGATTCCCAAGGCTCCACCTTACGGTGACATTTATGCTGCAAAAGTATTTTGCATTAAAATGGTGAGAGCAACAAATGTTTTAAGTATTTTCTATTTTTTTGCTAATAAGCAAAATTTTGTGCAGCTGAGTTGGCAGCAGTCATTGGGTCCATTTATGGATGGTGAAGTTGAATGGTGGTCAAAGTTAGAGCCTGGAAGCCTTCAGTAAATGCGCTGAAGTTGTCTGAGGGCCATAAGAGTTGTTGCTTATATTGGATTAGATCATTTATTGAGAGTAGAACAAGCACTCTGATGGTCCTCTCTCCATTTGGGACTTTCTGTAAGGGGAGCAATTTCTCTGGCCCTGGATGGTGTGAAGTCCCACTGTGAGTAACTGCAGCTGGGCTGGTCTCTATTGTACCTGGCAAAGGCCAATAGAGAGGAGCATAAGGAGGAGGTGAAACAAGCTTAGATTCTACAGAAGACTCTGATAGTGTGGGGATGCTGGGGATTCTAAAGGAGGTGTAGGCCCCTGAGGGCCCCTGTCTGGAGCTGGTGTTGGGCTGTGGGGTCTGGGGTCCCTTCCCCTTAATAAGAGATGATCTTCCAATTGTTCTGAGGGGCTTTCTGGCTTACTAGGCTTTAGCCTACAGGTGCTGCATAGAGCTGGATTTTGTTGTCAGGCCAGAAAGGCTTGCACATAGGATACTTAAGACCATTTTCCCTGATTATTACAGAAAAGATCTAGCTGTAGGATGGAGTTAAAGTTCACAGTCTCATTCTCCAGCCATGTTTTGTCAGCTAATCTGTAGGCAGGCAAAATAGTGTTACAAAAGAAGATAAGGTTTTCTTTTTTCTAAGTTCATTTAGCCAAAAGCTGTTCTAATTTTTAGATATACATCCCAGGGATGTTTCAGTGACAGTAGAGGAAGCGGCTCCCACGGTGCCGAGAGAATCCTGCAACGACAGAACATTTACTGAAGTCCAGGAGGCTGTGGGCATCCCCATGAGCCAAGTGGAACCACCAAGGTGTCCAGCGCATCCCCTTGAAACCCCATTAACTGAAGCTCTAGGAGGTCATAGGCATTTGCCATACACCATCCTATCTACCCCCAGCGGTGGACATCTCCAGCCCTACCGAGATGACCCCCACTGCGGGCTGGGGGGCAGATGTCTGGCTAACAAGCCTTGCCCTAATTCACTGGTTTGTCATTTGTGATGCCCAATTACAACATCTGGAATGCTCAGATGCAATCCCTACGACTAGGCATCTGCATGACTGTGCATCTTTTGTTCAGCAAAGAAAGCCTGCTGGAGAACAATTTCAAGGAGGTGGGAAATGCATAAAGCCTGAAGGGACAGGGTTCTCTTAATGTGCTGCTCAAAACAAAACAAACATTTTTGTAAACAGAAAACCTGACCAGAAAAATACATTACAATGACCACTAGGTGGCGATGGAGTATTGCTGAAGGGACAGCAAACAATAAGCGGAGTCTGAACTGTGGCCAGAAAGATGTGAAACTAAGCGGCAAAGCAGCCCAAATATGAAATATTGAGGGCAACACATGTGGTTAGTGTATTTATCGATACCACAGAAGCAGCAGCCAAAAGGAGAGCGGACATATATTCTCTCTCTAAAGAATATAGTTGACTTAAAAACGTTTCCCCAAGAACTTTACTGAAATAGCACTGGAACAAGCAGCGATAGTTAACCAGGGAGTCTGGAACTGCCATAGTATTCACTGCAAGAAAAGGGAAACTGAAATTAATGAAGCAGACAAAACTCTCCCCAGGTCATGGTACCAGAAATGTTGATGGCTGATGTAATACCTTGTTTCTTATCTTCTTAGTTTAAGAGACACACAGCAAAAGAAGTACAGCATAATTTATTGCAAAAAAAGAGAATATTTTGAAAATTAAGTGCAGAATAGACGGTACGGTCTGAGAAAGAGATTCCAGGGCAGCCTGCTCATAAAAGTGAGACAGAGCTAATTATTGCTGGAGAAACCCTCTTTATGGGAGTTTTGCATGATTATTCATAAGAAGGTGGAAAGAAGTGTTGCAGAAAGCATGTTCTGACTGGTCTTCTGGGTGCACAGTGCAGTAGCTGTACACATTTGTGCATACATTGCATGTCTCAGTAGCATCTTAAATCTCCACCCAGGAATGTGTTTTTTACTGTTAAAATAAACAAAGGGTCAGGTTGAAGACAGATAAAATCAAAATGCAAATGCTTTTTATAAGTAAAAGTCCCTACTGATGATAGCGGGTTTCAAATGACCCCAAGTGCTCCACATCTTAAAAGTTGCTCCCATAAAGCTGGAACACTATCTGTTCCTGAGGTATCAGGTCCCATATGTGGCTCCGAGTCACTGGCAAGCCAGGCCTGACTTGAGATGAGACCATTAATTTCAAGTGTAAAATGCCTAAATAGTCAGCAACTTCAGGTTGCATTTTGGAGCATGTCCACTTAAATGGGTTGATGAAAATGGCTCACAAGACTCACGCCTCGGAGTCTTAGCAGATTTTGTGCGACCCAATAATTAACCTTCTGATGACTAGACTTTCACAGTTGTGAAAAAGGCGACTTTGAGAGTGACATTTCCAGGAAGCCACAGCCCTTGTCACCCCCTGCAGAGCTCTGAAGCTGCTCACAAGCAGGCCAGGTGAAAGATTTCTCTCAAAAACGGTTAAGTGCATGCTCTGGCTAGAGAAAAATGAGGGTTGCGGCACAATCGACTGTGTCTCAGACATCAGGAAAGTTTCCACAGCAGTTTAGGAAAGAAGGCAGCGCCTAGGGCTGCAGAAGACGTAATGCTCTGGAAAGAACCCTGGGTGCAATTGAAAGAGGAACCTGAGAAGGATAGGCTCAATCGGGTGAGGACAAACCGGCCATTTGGGAAAAGGGAAGGTGTCTTCGTAGGGTAATACCCTCCTCAATGCCCAGCCCAGACCTGCCCTCCAGGTGCACCTGTGTACTCACTCTCCTTGCAAAGAGTTGGCATAGCATAAGAACTCAGGAGTGCTTTGGACTCTGGGAAGTCCACACCGCTCTAACCCTCCCTCCAGGGCTATGCACCCCGGATCCTGGTACATGCTGGGAGTATAGTTCTGAAGCCTACCGACAAACAGGCTGAGAGCAGTTAACGGACTACAGCTCCCAGCATATTAGGTGGGGCGCGTACCACTCTGCCCCTTCTTCCAGTTCTGCGCCTCGCCCTGGAGCCTGGCGCATGCTGGGATTGTAGTCCTGTAGCCCTTTGACCAAAGGGTTGGGAGTGTTTATGAGAATACATCTTCCAGCAATCCTAGGGAGGCGCACACAGCCCGGTCTCTTCCTCCAGTGACACGCATTGTCCCTGAGACTAGTGCATGCTAAGATTGTAGTCCTGCAGCTCTTTGAGGAAAGGGCTGGAAGAGTTTATGAGCATATATCTCCCAGCAAACCTAGGGAGACGCACACAGCCCCGCCTCTTTTTCCAGTGACGCGCACTGTCCCTGACCCCGGTGAATACTGGGATGGTAGTCCTGTAGCCACGGGACCGGAAAGTCTGGGAGTCTTTATGAAACTACATCTCCCAGCAAGTAGAAGGAGGCACCCACAGTCCAGTCTCTTCCACCAGTAATGGGCACTGTCCCCGAGCTGTGTGCATGCTGGGACTGTAGTCTTGCAGCCCGGTGATGAAAGGGCTGGGAGTGTTTATGAGACTACATCTCCCAGCAAGCCCACCGAGGGGCGCATGGCCTTGCCTCTTCCTCCAGGGACGCGCACTTTCCCTGAGTCCGGTGCATGCTAGGATTGTAGTGCTGCAGCCCTGTGACCAAAGGACTGGGAGCGTTTATGAGACTGCATCTCCCAGCAAGACCAGCAAGAAGTGCGGAGCCTCGTCCCTTCCTCCAGATATTAGCGCACTCTCCCTGAGCCTGGTGCATGCTGAGATTGCAGTGTTGCAGCCCTGTGACCAAAGAGCTTTGTTATAGTTATCTGTGAAGTATTCAACAAATTACTTTACTTAATTATTACTGGAAGCCAGAACCTCAGTTGCGTTCACTTTTTGGATATTATATGAGTGAAATTGTATAATATGTATACTTTTACATCGACTTTCTTCTATGCAACATTATAGTTATGGTATTAATTCATGATATTGCAGATAGCTATAGTTTGTTTATTTAATTTTTTTTTTTTTTTACTTTGTGGTAAAGTGTACATCAAATTAACCATTTTAGCTATTGTAAGTTTGCAGCTCAGAAAAATTAACTACATTCACATTGTTTTGCAACTATCATTCCCATTCATACGGACCTTCTTTCAACTTGCAGAAACAAAACTCTATACCCATTAAATAAGCTCCTTGTTACTCCCCTCAGGCTTCTAGGAACCACTCTTCTACTTGGGTTTCTAGAATTTCTTTACTCTAAGTATCTCATAATTGGAATGATTCAGTATTTGTTCTTTTATGACTGGCTCGTGTCACTTTGCTCAATGTCCTTAAGGTTCATGCATGACATACCATGTGTCAGAATTTCCTTATTTTACATAGCTGAATAATATTCCACTGTATGTATAAATCACATTTTATCTATTTATTCATTGATGGTAATTCAAACAACACTTGAGTAATTCAAACAGCTTTCTGGTGATGTGAGTAATGCTGCTGTGAACCTAGGTGTATGTGTATTATTTTCTGTCTTTGCTTTCCTATCTTTTGCTACATACCCAGATGTGAAATTGCTGGATCGTATGGTGACATTACATGTAAATTTTTTAGTTACTATGTTGTTATTTTATAGCAGCTGTAGCATTTTACATTTCCACCAACAGTGTACAAGGGTTCTAATTGCTCCACATCCTCACCAACACTTGTGATTTTCTGTTTTGTTTTCTTTCTTTTGGTAGTAGCTATGCTGATGGGTATTAAGCGATATGTCATTTGGGGTTAGATTTGCATTTCACTAATGATGAGTTTTGTTGAGCATCTTTTCATGTGCTTATTAGCCACTTTACAAAATTTTTAGAGAAATGTCTGCTTAGGATTTTGCCAATATTTTAAACAGGTAGTTTGTGTTATTGTTGCTGAATTGTTCTTTGCGTATTCTGGATAGATTCCGATTCATCTATTTTTCTTTTGTTTCTTGTGTTTTGGGTGTCCTGTTAAAAAAAAAAAAAAAACACTGCCAAATCCAGTGTATGACATGTTTCCCCTATATTTTGTTCTAAGAATTTTGTAGTTTTAGCTCTTACATTTAGGTATTTGATCCAGTTAGTTAATTTTTTCTTATGGTATAAGTGAATGGCCCAGGTTCATTCTTTTTACATGTGGGTACCGAATTTCCCCAGCCCTGTTCTGCCTCTGACCGTCGGTCCTGTGTGGGTTTACTTGGAGGTGCTTTGCCTTGGAGAAAGGCGGGTGGACGGTGGTGGGGGCAATACAGCCCTGATAACACCTTGACTTAAGCCCAGTAAGACACGTGAGCAACAGGCCCCCTTGCAGAGGGCAAAGCAACGTGGAATCCGAAACCAAGCTTCAGTCGGCCTGAGTGTGACTCCTGTGTGGACGGGACTATCGGCCTCGCGCTCCTTTGCAGGCTCAACCTGGGGCTATCTCATCTGTGAACCATGTGGATGAAAAATGGACAACCACCCGAGTTTCGGCTCATTGCTCTCTGGGCAATTCTCTCATTCCCTGGGAGACGAAATTCGTCTGAATCGCTCCCGGATGAAGCAACCCAGGCTGGTTATCCGGAGGGCCGGTGAGCGCCCCGCAGACCAACGCGGCTGTGGGCCGAGCACTTAGCCCGCACTGGGCACCCAACATTTTTCCGGAGTGCGAGGTCCTGCTGGTCCTGGAGGCAGAAGACCGCTTTTCTCTCTGCCTTCTTTTCTCTGTCCCTTGCTCCCTCCCT